>NC_000010.11:14555454-14706969 GCF_000001405.40 Homo sapiens
TGCCTGATTATAAAACAAACTATTCTAAACATTTTACTTCTGTCTTTAATCTAGTTTTATTTTGCTCACTCTCATTTTTTTAAATAAGTTGTTCCCACGCCATTAGCAAGAAATAAATTTTGTTTTCTCTTAAAATGTTCACTTCTGAGATAAAGATTTGATTCAGTGACTTGGAAAAATTGGGCATTATTTGTTTCCTCACTGCATCTGCTGCAGAACCATTTTCTCCACAATTAAACATCATGGCTTTATCAAAGAACACAGGTCTAAACGTCAGAAACGCCAGGCCCAGTCCTTGCTCTGCCACCCAGGAGGCTCTGTGCCTTCAGAAGGCAAGTTTACCCCTCAGCATCAAAGTATTCTCACCTGAGCCCTGGCCTAGGCAATCAGAGGTCCTCACTAATCAGGACAGGCCAGTGCTAAACTTGCAGACATCTTTAACACACACACACACACACACACACACACACACTGGGCAGTGCAATCAGGCCACACGTGACAGGCCTTTCAAATCCACACACCCCACCCCCAAAAGGGGAAACAGGAGAAATCTGATTTTACCTGGCTGCAAGTGCAATGCAGAATAACAACGTGAGCCCTAGGACACCTCTGATCCATAGGAATCCACATTAAAGCTGCACTGCTGCCTGGGGCCCTCAGGACTGGCAGGTGACGAAGCAGAGAGAGAAGACAGACCAAGCACATTCCCTTCTCAATACTCGATATACAAAAACAGCACTATTTGACTAACAATGACTAGCTTAAAGTGACTTTCCAGAGCCCTCGTCCTTCCTGTCATCAGAACCGACTGACTGGAAGGCCAGTAATTTGATATCGGAAATTTACAATTGATAAAGTCATCAATGGTGACTCCTCCCAAATGCACAGAAGATCTAGAAATGCTGACCTCAGAGTTTCTGGACTGTTCAGGGCTTGACCAGGATTCTCTGGCTGAAAAAGGAAATACACCAGTCAGCACTCAGCATGCCAGAGAGCAGCCCAGGCCACAATATTCATATTTGTCAAGCCCCGACCTAACGAGAGCTCAGCTCTGGACAAAACAAAGCCGTGCGCAACGTTTAGACTTGACTGACACCTACTGTGTGCTCCGTGCTACTGCCCCTCACTTGAGATCTCCCTGGTCCATCTAGGCCACAAGCCACACCTGGCTTCACAAGGCATCCTGCCATGGAACAGCAGGCAAAGATTTAGAAGGCCACCTCAGCAAGTGCCACTTCTCAAAGATACCCAGATAGTTTTGTGGCTAAAACAAATATAGCACCCAGGTTTTCGTTATTGAATAGAAAAAGTTCAAAGCAGGAAACGTGCACTAAGAATGGACTTTCCCCCCATGGGATTGTCAGGGCCTCTCAATAGCTTCTCCAATGCCCTGGCAGCGGCCCTCACTCCCCACCTGATCTGACCTGGGCCTGCTTCTCATGCCTCATGCCAGTCTCTCCGCCACCTTGCTCCCTGCGCCTTAGCCACACAGGCCTGCCTTCATTCCTGGAACACACCAAACTCTTTCTGGGCTGCATGTCTTGGTGCACATGATGTCCCCACCTGGAGCGCATGACCCTCCCAAGCCAGCCCCCTTCCCACACTTCTCCTGACCCCTGGCTCTTCCTCACCTTCTCAGTCTGTATTTCAACATCACCTTCTCGGATCAACAATCCAACACGGGTCCCTCCGTGGTCAGTCTCTGTCCTAAGCTTGTTTCCCAACTCTCACCATCTGTAATTGTTTAATTTATTGCCAGCCCCATGTGTGTTTTTTATCTTCTCCCCTCTAGATATTTAGCTACCTAGGGGCCAGGGCCATTTCTGGTTTGTACCTCGCTGGATCTTCAAGGCTAGGAATTCTAAATGTTCAATTATCATCTGTTAAAGTGATGAAATACCTCAATAAATTGTGCATGGAGAAAAGATGCAGTCTATAAACATTTTTATTTGTACTAAACTGGTCACAGTGCGAAAACAGCTGTTCACTGGTATTGGGCATAATTATTAATTTCTAGCCTCTATTTCTCCCTACTAAGTACCCAACCAGGTTGGGTCTGTGCTCTACTGTAATGTCTTGATTAAAATGGGATTCTTTGTCATTTAACTGTTTAAAACTGGTAATAGAAATTATATCAATGATGATGGTTTGGTTCCCAGGTAATCCACAAAAATATGACTGCTACTACTGGTTAACATTCGAAGTGCTTACTGCATCCCAGGCACTGCTTTAAACACTCTCATATTTCATCTCAACCTTCACAACAGTTCTGCGAGGGAGGTATTATTATCCTTATTGACGGAGGAGTAGCTGAGGCCCAGGGGGATTAGCAGCCTGCCCATGGTGATGCCATTGGAGGGGCCTAGCCGGGGCCTAGCCAGGACCCAGCCAGGTCCCAGCCAGGTCTACCTGATGCCAGAGTGCCAGCTCTTACTCGATAGTTCATCCCTTGCTAATGGAGCCCACAGGCTAGGAGGCAGGAGAGATGAGGTAAAGCTGTCTCTTCCTGATTTGGAGTCAGGCAAACTACTGTTTAAAATGTTTTTAGAAAAAGATCGAATTCGTCTTTTGAGCTCCTCCCCGTGAGTCCAGGTAATTCCTTAATTCCTCAAGCTTGCCCTCCCTGTTCCTCAGTTTCCTCCTGCTTCCCTGGACTACTCCATTAAATGCACCGCCAGACTTGGGCATTCATGACACAACCCATCATCACCTGCCTCCCCACCAGTGTGTGTGTGCACACACTCACGTGCACGTGCTCACATTCACACACATGTGCATGCGCACACTCACATACGTGCACGCGCACAGTCACACATACGTGCACGCACACACACACATACACGCACACACGCACACACACTCTTTCAAAAGCTCCAATTTGCTCCCTCTAGCTTTCAGAAGACTCAGGGTAAACAAGATACCTAATTAAATTATTTCACCCTGAGGTGTAAAATAATTCCTTGACCTTCCTATAGATGCTAAAATGCATAACTTTTAAAAGGTAACTTATTCACAAAGCACCGTTTGAATTATTATACAGCCAAAAGAATGACCAAAATTGGATGGCAATTTCCAGAAGCATCCAGAAAGAGAGTTGTGTGGAGAAGCCATCTGGCTACTGCTCACCTGATCTTGATTTTTTTTTTTAACTGTATTCCTTCTCCATTTCTGAACTCAGCGTCTAAGGTGATCCTGACTGTGCCTCTGGTGAACGCAGGAAGGACTGGAAAACTGGGGTTGGGTGGGGAGTTGAGCAGGGGCCTTGCTAAGTGTGTGGAGCTGGAGACCACCTATAGTTTCTGGCTGGATTTTATAAAACACAACACCTTAATATGTTCTGCCAGGTGTAGTGAAAATGTGCCTGATGAACTTGAATTCTTACTTGCTTCCAAAAGCTCTATATGAAGGGGAGCCCAAATTAGGAGATGAAAACGCAGGAGAAAAAAAAACTAATAATAAATTTCAACTGCTGAGTTGTGTGGGTCCAACAAAGAGTAACAGAATTATACATCCTTCAAAGCCACGCTGGTTTTGTTGATTTCCATGTGAACCAACTGGCCTAAGCTGACCTCCATTTCCCTTCCAACGCAGTCCAGCTGTGGCTTTCAACCACGGCTCACACATCAAAATCACCTGTGGAACTTCAAAAAAAAAAAAAAAAAACAAAAAAAAAACACCTGGTGTCTAGCTCCAGCACAGGGAGCAGAGAAGAGAATCGATCAAGATCAGCCACAAGTACAACACGGCCTGTGCCACAACACAGCCATGTCCAGAGGGCAGGACGGGGAGAACTGCAAGAACCATTTGGTGGACCATCTCTTCTCCCCCACCTCCAGGACCAAGCGCGTGAGCCAGCCACCCACCTGCGCAGCCAGCCTTCATGAGCCCAGCTTTGCCAGCACCGAGGTCTGAGTACCAGGGACAAGGTGATAAATGGTCCTGGCAGACCTGCCA
Source organism: Homo sapiens (assembly GCF_000001405.40). Taxonomy (NCBI): domain Eukaryota; kingdom Metazoa; phylum Chordata; class Mammalia; order Primates; family Hominidae; genus Homo; species Homo sapiens. The sequence goes on from NC_000010.11 coordinate 14,559,409, forward strand.
AAGAGCTTCCATTCTAATGGAAACCATACCAGGGAGATTTAAATCCCCCGGTTCTCTTACAAAAAAAAAAAAAAGAGGAGGCAACTGAAAAGGGTCCCCTAAGCAATTTCAGCACCAAACTTCAGTCCTATAAGCCCGCAGCTTCTCACTCAGTTTTCAGAGGACTTTTTTTTTTTTTTGAGATGGAGTCACCCTCTGTCACCCAGGCTGGAGTGCAGTGGCGCAATCTCGGCTCACTGCACGCTCCGCCTCCTGGGTTCACGTGATTCTCCTGCCTCAGCCTTCTCCGAGTAGCTGGGACTACAGGCGCCAGCCACCGCGCCTGGCTAATTTTTTTTTTTTTTTTGTATTTTTAGTAGAGACGGGGTTTCACCATGGTTTCAATCTCCTGACCTCGTGATCCGCCCGTCTTGGCCTCCCAAAGTGCTGGGATTACAAGCGTGAGCCACCGCGCCCGGCCTCTCAGAGGACTTTTTTGTGTAGTATTGGATTAAAGGAACTGTAAGAGCCTTCTCTAAATGTGGAGAGAATAATACTAGTATAAACCTCAACCTCCTCCTAATTCTTTCCATTTTCATACAATCTCTGAATTAACAAACGCACAACCCTTGCTTCCCCAATCTCATTGCAACCTGCGTGCCAGGCACTCTACAACCCGTTGCTCTACTCAATAGCCTGATCCAGACCATCAGAGAGTTTTAGTTCAGTGGTCCTTGTGTACCCCACACTCTAGGCCTGGGTGACCACCATGCTCTAACACCAACAGTTTGTCCCATCTGCATTCTGGGTGGCTTATTTTTTTTTTCATCTTTTTTTTCTTTCCCATTTGGAACAAGTGCCCATCAAAGGCTTAGGAGATATAAAAGATGTACAAGAACAACTCCAAGATCCCTTTTAAGAGTCTTTCATCTTTCTGTAAAAACTAAACCAAGATACATAACATATGAGTGTCACATATCGCATGCTAATTCAGAAGCAAGCTATATGAAGCAATAGGAAACACAGAGCCGTCAGAGCGGGAAAGCCCTGGAGGCACGAGTCAGCGATGACACCACAGGGTATTCAAGGAGCACCAATGGCCTGCAGGTGGCAGAAACAATGGAGGAACCAGCCTGAGTCAAGGAGGACTCACTAGGTAAGCTTGGGAAATAGGGCTGAAGACGTGGACTGAGCAGTCGATGGAAGGCTCGGAAGTCAGACATGGCTCACCTGCGACAGGGGCCTCAGCAAGAGACAGGTATGAGGGACACTGTTTTAGGCCCATGGATTAAAAACACGGCTGCCATCAACATTGATTCAGCCTATGTAAATGTCTGGTGCACCAGTTTATTCTCAACAAGAACTTAATCAGGGTGGCTCCTACCACCTCCATTCCTATCATCAAAATGGTTCAAAATATGCCAAAGCCCCGATGTTTACATATTAGAAATTTAAAATTGCTTCCTGACAACCTTCCAGGGCTTTTCATGTCCCTGTTTCTCCCCCTACAGAGCAGATGACTGTTCTGGGAGACAGCTGGCAGCAATGAGTACAAACAGCCAACTGTGTGGCCATCCCGTCATAATTTTGTTCCCTACACATCTGTCAACTGGGTGTCAGGCACAGGGTGTGCCACTGAGTCAAGCTACAACGAAACCAGCCATCATTCTCTGTCTTTTGAAGGGAGCCGGACACCTGGCGAGTAAATGCCATCTTGTGTAGAGTCACCCACAAGAGGGAATCTGGTGAATTCATCCTCCCATTAATTCATCAAGTATTTAGTCTGTGTCTATTAAGTGCCAGGCACTGTTCACAACAACATGGGCCTAGCAGCAAAGGACACAAAGCCACTGCCCTCTTGGGAGCCTGCATTCAGGGGCAGGCAGCCAACTGACAAACCGAGGGAAATATAGTATCAGGCCGTGCAAAGTGCCATGCAGGGAAATACAGGTAAGGCAATGGAGTGGCAGGGTGCACTATTGTGGATATTCATGAAACACCGCGCTGAGAAGACAGCAGACACCTGAAGGAAGTGAGGGACATAGCCAAGGGCTACCAAGGGAAAGAGCTTTGGGCAGACGGAGCAGCAAACACAGAGGCCTGGGGTAGGTAGGGACAGCGAAGAGGCCTGACCAGGTAAGCGGCAGGGAGGCGGCATGATCAGGAACTGGGTTATGGTAAGGCTTCCTACCCTCAAAACCACAGGGGGGAGGGCAAGGGCGAGAGGCCCCGCAGTTTGTGGTCATGGCAATACAATGATAATAACACTCCTCATTCCTTATTTAGATCTGTAAACCTTTCCTAGTCCAGTCTAATACATAAAAGAAAGAAAGAAATGTAAATAGTGGATTCAACAATAAAAGAGAATAAACCATTAGGTATACTCAGAGTATATTTTCTTCTTATTTTCTTTTTGAGACAGAGTCTCACTCTGTCACCCAGGCTGGAGTGCAGTGGCATGACCTTGGCTTACTGCAACCTCCGCCTCCAGGGTTCAAGGGATTCTCCTCCCTCAGCCTCCCGAGTAGCTGGGACTACAGGCATGTGCCACCACGCCCAGCTAATTTTTGGTATTTTTAGTAGAGACAGGGTTGCACCATGTTGGCCAGGCTGGTCTCAAACTCCTGATCTCAACCGATCCACCCGCCTTGGCCTCCCAAAGTGGTAGGATTACAGGTGTGAGCCACTACGCCCGGCCTTAGAGTGCATTTTCTACTCCAAAAAGTTCAACTCATACTTAGTGATGGAAAGTAAATTTGAACATTTTCAAATGTAATGATGATATTAACCAGTAGGGATGCCCTCAAATATAATATCCTCAATTGTTTTAAGCAGAGGACAGAATGGTCTTTTAATCTAAAACAATATTAGAATATGCAATTAAGTAGTTTTCCATCACAGTCTACACTTCAAAGGGTGATGCACCTTCCTAAACAGTCTTGGGAGAGATTCTAAACCCTGAGAGTCACTGACACATTTAACTAAAGCCACAGAACAATACATTCAGCTGGAGAAGTCAGTGATAATGTCTTCAAGCTTTACTACAAGTGGTAGAGGCAGAGTTGCTAATTTCCTGCTTTGTGGGTGCTTTGTAGCTTCTGTAGGCATCTTAATTATCAACTATATCATAAGAAATGTAAAACAAAGAAATACAAACATGATGAAATCTTCCACTTGCAGGAAAACAGATGATCATCAAATTTGGAGGCCTGTCCACAAAAGACAAAATTCTGGAAGTAGCAATCCTTTACGACAATACCACGTCAGCCACATTATTAGTTGCAAACATCCTTTCTAAATCCAGGGGTAAGCAGGGAACTAATCCCCAGATGTGAGCTGCCCTTTGCATTTCTGAAGCCACTTGAACTTCCAGCCATAAAACTGTGACACTCACACCACTGGCAAACAGCTCAGACACAATAACTCAGAAGTCGATTGCATGCTAATTTCCATGTTATTTCTCAACCATGAGAGTAGCTCTGTTATCCCATAGGACAAGATATTCTTTTGCCATTTCACTTAGATAAGAAATAGAACTTGCCTGAGCTATAACAGAAATGAGAAAAAGCAAATTATGTCTCTGCTACATGTGAAAGTTTAATTTATGCAACTTTTCTTGAACAAGTCAAAACTTGTCTATTCAATCAATGAATTACTACTGAAATAAAGCGGAAAAACTGTGAAGCTTAAAACAGCCACAGAAAGGTTACGATAGTCTGTTAAACAAATAAAAACTTGAGGGAGAAAACAGATCTTTGTTACCACTCAAATTGGAAATACTGGGGTTTTACACGTAGAAGGCAACCTACAGATGAGGGAAACAGTTTAACAGACATTTCTCTCGTAACAAAAAATACTTATTTTTTTTCTTCTGATTTTAAAAGCAATGTGCTGATCACACAAAATTTGGAAAATACAGAAAAGTATAAAGAAAATTTCCCCCATGAATGCATCATTTAAAATATTTATATTTTGATACATTTCCTTTCAACTAATACAATACACACCTCTTTTCATTTTTTAGCAAAATTGGGATATTAAATAGATAATTTATTACATTTGTAAGCATTTTACCTGTAATAACTTTTTCAATATATGGCTGCAAAATCTGCCATTACATGAATGTATTATAGGTGACTTAACTATTCCTCTATCGTCCTATTCAAAATGCAAGATAGACAAATTTTAATGTAACAGAGTAGGAAAGATCATTGCTATGGCTTCAGAATATTGTAACTAACCTTTCAGACACTACCACTCATCAGGTTTTGGTGTGGTATCAAGGAAGAATGTCCGTAATTATCTGAAAAGGTTATTTCAATTCTCTGGCCTTTCCCAATGATGTAACTGTGTGAAACTAGATTTTCTGCATACATGACCCCCAAAACAACCTACCCCGACAGACTGATTACAGAAGCAGACATGAGAACACAGCTATTTTCTATCAAAGCTGGTTATGAAACAGATTCACAAAAATGGAAAACAATGTCGCTCTTCTCACTAAATTTTTTTTTGGTTTTCACTTTAAAAAATCACTAAAGAGATAAATAAAACAATGTGAAACATTCATCTCATACTTTTTTTTGTTTTAGTAAGGTTATTCTTCATTATAAATGGCCTTTTTATTAGTATGTAACAGGTTTATTATTGTTTGTTATTTTTGAGTGAACTTTTAAAATTTCTCAGTTTCAATTTTTAACATAGTAAAATATCAATAGATATAACCAAAAAAAAGTTCTTTAAGATTCTCAAATACTTTTTTAAAACAGTGTAAAGGGGTCCTGAGGTCAAAAAGATTGAGACCCAGCAGGTAACAGAATGAAGAGTTTAACAGATTAATAAATCCATTGACATTGTGTTTGCTTGTTACTGACTTCTGCTTAAAAAAAGACTGCTCCGAGACGTTGAGCAGATCAGCGGCAGCTTTCTTGGGTAGAATTCTTCCTCTTCCGGCCACATTTAGTCTCTGAATAATTAGGCCCCCAAATACTTGATCCATTTCACCATTCTATATCAAAATAGTTTTCAAAGCAGATACTGCAGGTTTGTGAGGAAACAGTGCCCCCAAGAATCAGAGATGCAGATCTCTCACCATGACTACCTCACCACTTATTTGTTTAAAAAAAAAAAAAAAAGATAAAATATTATAAAAACATTTTTGCTGTGGTAAGGGCAAACTGATTCAGATGACAGTATCTGAAATACACTCATCTCCATGGTTAATCATCACCTATTTTGACTTCCTCCCACCCAAATTGCACAAGTTAATTCTGTGAATTCTGCAGGGCAAATGGCACCAGTTTCCTTCCACCTGTTAGTGCCCAGATCGCAACAGAAATAAGGAAACACCCATTTATTTCCTGTTACAGCTTTACTTTCTAATTACTAACAATCCAACTGAAAGGCCCAAACCTATTATAACATTACAGATATTTCTAATATCTCAAGAACAGGAATCCTACTATACCATTGTCCTACTCTTCCATATATAGTATTTTCTACACTTTCGTTCTAAAACAACAAAATGGTCACACTTGAAAAATTGGGCTGGGCTGGGCATGGTGGCTCATGCCTGTAATCCCAGCTACTTGGAAGTCTGAGGCAGGAGGATCACTTGAGCCCAAGAGTTCAAGACCAGCCTGGGCAAAATAGCGAGACCCTGTCTCTAAAAAATCAATTTAATTCTTTAAAAAATTGGGCTGAAAATTAAAACAAACTCTTTCATTAAAACACGTATTTATTGAGTGTACAGCTTGTGCCAGGCATATGTCTTGACACTGAGGATAAAGCAGTAAAACTCCCTGCCTCGTGGACTTATTTATCATAGCTTATTTTCTACTGGGGGAAGCAGGCATTCGACAAAGGAGTAGCAATGAAGTGTGCTGGGTTTTAACAGAGGAAGCCGAGGTCACCATGAGAACAGACCACAGAAGTCCAGGGAGAGCATTTGATGAAATGCAGTCCAAGGGGAGAACCCTCGGCAGACATAGGCGCATGGGCTTGGAGCACAAGATGAGCCAGAAGAAAGATGGGACTCAAGCCTGGGGTTAGCACACAGATACAAACCCAGACTCCCCGGGGAAAGAATGAGGCCAAGTGCTGAAATAGAGGACACTGAGGAAGAACCAGTTCAATGGATCAGAGAAAACAAGGAAATGTGTTACAGACTCACTGCATTTTAGATACCTGCAAAGCATGCAAGACTATAAAGGATGCACTGACATAGGTGCTTGAGCTCACAAGTTAGGTATGGGCTGGATACGTAGATATGACAGCCAAAATCCTACAGCAAACGAAGCGGCTGAAACTGCTGATATTCCTCAGCAGGGTGGCAAAAGTGTCCTCAAAATACCCAAATACAAAGGGGTGGGGAGAGGAAGGGGAGGCTGCAAAGGAGGCTGAAGGGGATAATCGAGCGAGAGAAGGAAACCCAGGGGAGAGTGTCTCAGGCGCTCAGAGGGCAGGGGGATGTTTCACAGAGGAGGATGCGCTCCACAGTGGTAAATCCCAGCTGGCAAATGCTGCTGAGAGGCCAAGCAGGAACACAACCAGAGGGCCCTGTGGAACTCGCAGCAGGGCGGACCTAAGGCCTCTCTGCAGCACTGGCTTCATGGGCATGGGACCTTCACAGCCCCCATGCCTGAGGGGCCCTACGCTTCGTTTAGTGCTTTGCTGTTACCATCTTGAAATTCTTAATTTTTGAACAAAGAACCCTGTATTTTCACTTTGCACTGGGCCCAGAAAATTTTGTAGCCAATCCTGACCCTCTGGTATCAGTTTCACTAAAGTAGCAGAGATAAAAAACAGAATCTAATGGATTGAGGAGTGAAAGGGGAATGAAAGAATAAGTAGGTAACACAGTGACTTTAAGGTGATCCCACATTCCTCTCCACCTACTGTTCACCTGTCACCTGCTTCTAACAACAGAAGATAGCAAAGGTGATGAGATGTCACTCCTGTGAAGCCATCATGCTGCAATCTTCCATCCTTGCCAGCTGAAAGGAAGTAAGGACCTGTGCGGCATGGAACTGCAGGCGACCCACGTCCCACAACTGCAGGGAAATGAATTCTGCCCATGACCTGAGGGAGCCTGGAAACACTCTTCCTCAGTCGAGCCTCTGATGAGACCACAGCCCTGGCGCCCACCTGGACAGCAGCCTGGTGAGAGCCTGAAGCACAGAAACCAGCTAGGCTGTGCCCGGGCTCCTGAGCCACGGAACTGGTGAGGGAACCAACACAGGTTGTTTATGATACTGAGTGTGCAATCATTTGCTGTGTAGCAGTAGGTAATAGTACAAGGCAGAAAGTAGAACATGCTCTCAAAATGTTTCATCAAGAGAAGGAAAGAGAAAGTGGTCACTGAAAGAGGAGAGTTCCAAGAAGAGCTTGGGTTCTGTTTTTGTCGTAAGATAGGAGAGACCTGAGCACTTGTAAATGCTCATGAGAAGGAAATACCAGGAGAGAGGTTTACATCGGAGGTGGGGCCGGGCGCGGTGGCTCACGCCTGTAATCCCAGCACTTTGGGAGGCCGAGGCGGGCAAAACACAAGGTCAGGAGATGGAGACCATCCTGGCTAACACAGTAAAACCCCGTATCCACTAAAAAATACAAAAAAATTAGCCAGGCATGGTGGCGGACGCCTGTAGTCCCAGCTACTTTGGAGGCTGAGGCAGGAGAATGGTGTGAACCCAGGAGGCGGAGCTTGCAGTGAGCCAAGATCGTGCCACTGCACTCCAGCCTGGGTGACAGAGCGAGACTCTGTCTCAAATTAAATAAATAAATAAATAAAAATAAATAAATTGGAGGTGGGAGAGAATGGTGGTGCAGAAATGGATTTCTAGAGAATAAATAAGATTCCTCTTTCACTATAAACAGAAAAATGAGAAAAGTACAGGCCCAAGAGCAGGCGGATTTGCAAAGGGGCAGTGGGAAGGTCAGAGAATGGCCTTCGCACGACTGTCCCGTGAGCTGTGGAAAGATAATCTGCCGAGAGTGAAATGAGAGGAGGAGGGATGGGCTCAGTATGAACCTAGAGATTTAAGAAGTGTGGAGGAGGTTGGAAAAGTCATTATGGAGAGGAAGAGGGTTGATGAGGAAAATTTGATTTCCAGGCAGTGTTGAGGCCCTGGTGAGGCAGAGATCAGGATCATAGAGAGGCAACTGTGTAACTTTCTCTGGCAGAACTCAGAAGTCCAGGGACAGGCATGGGTGGGCCGCCCAATCCCCCAGGAGAGTGAAGTAAGGGATTCCAGTGCGTTGACAAGCGCATCGCTGAAATGTTGGAATTCAAAAGCAGAGGCAAAGTCCAGCAGGAGCAGAGGGGTTGGAAAGGGACCTGGAATGGGAAAAATCTGATGTTCTTATTGTAATCTGTCAGCTGAGCTGAAGGACAGAAGCTTCTGGTGAGTAGGATCTCTGGATTTCAGCTCAGAAGCGGTTCCTGGTATTAACAGTGTCTTTTTAGGGTAACCTCCTCCTCCTAGTTTGAGCACTGAAAGTCCTGCGTCCTGTGAAACTCCTTAGTCCTCAGACTGAACATCCCCATCCCAAAAAGCTCCTGCTGCCACTCCAGTCTCAGGCAAACCAGGCTGCTGGTCACTCAGCTCCGGCTGCCATGGAGTCCCCGGTGAGCTTTGACAAATACTGACCCCTGCAGCAGATGACTGTGAGCCAGGGGCCAAAACTTTCAAGGAACGAATGAGGAGCTACGACCACGAAATGCTAGCACTGAGGGTAGAGGACAGAATACGACTGAGACAAGGCTCAAAGCAGCAGCGAGGGGAAGGGTCATGACCCAAAAGTGGCCATGAGGGCAGGAACCTAAGCCCTGCCTCCAGATCCCAAGGCACATACAGGGTGGGAGAAGGTGCACTCCCATTCCCAAGGGAGCCAAGGCAGCACTGAACTCGGAGAGTGGCTCTCGGTTAGACCAGGAGGTGAAGATACTGGGGGAGGAGGAGGCTGGCTGATGATCCCAGGGTTAGACCAGGAGGTGAAGATACTGGAGGAGAAGGCTGGCTGATGATCCCAGGGTTAGACGAGGAGGTGAAGATACTCAGGTAAGAGGAGGCTGGCTGATGATCCCAGGGTTAGACCAGGAGGTGAAGATACTCAGGTAAGAGGAGGCTGGCTGATGATCTCAGGGTTAGACCAGGAGGTGAAGATACTCAGGTAAGAGGAGGCTGGCTGATGATCTCAGGGTTAGACCAGGAGGTGAAGATACTCAGGTAGGAGGAGGGTGGCTGATCTCTGGGTTAGACCAGGAGGTGAAGATACTCGGGTAGGAGAAGGGTGGCTGATCTCTGGGTTAGACCAGGAGGTGAAGATACTGGGGAAGGAGGCAGCATGGGAGCTGGCTGATCCCAAGGCAGGAGCACAGCACCTGGTGGAAGAGGCTGGAGGGGAAGGGAGAGAGGGTGGGGTGGAAGGGGGAGGCAAAGAGCAGTCCCAGGAACCTGGAAGGAGGGGGAGAGACAGGGCATGAAGGTGGGATCCTAAATCCCAGAATCGTCGGCAACATAATAAATGGCAACACCAGGAGAGCTGGCATCTGACGATGTCTGTGGGACACAGTGCATAGGTAGATTTTAACACACTGAGATTGCTATTTGGTATAATGACATGTTTATCCTGAAGAAATGAAGTTAGGAATTTTCTGAGCTACAGAATGAATTTTTTGGTTCTCATCGAAAGGTCTGTTGCTCTTGGAACTCAATTCTCAAAGGTCTGTTTCACAAATAATCATCCTCGTTCTGATGTTTATTCAAATCTTTGCCCACCCTCGAGTCTCCTTAAATTCCTCATATTCCACAAATGATGTGTGTTATCTGAATCCAGAAAACCCTCATGGGTTTGCAGATATAACTGCCAACAACTGATATAGAAATAGAGAGTGTAGAAAATATTTCTTGACAATAAAAGTCAGAAGGAAGATTCGAGTTATCCTATCCCCATGAAAGGAAGGGGAGGGTACATGTTGTGTTGTGGTGAGCTGCAGTTTGCATTGTGCACATATGTGTGTGTGTGTGCATGCATGCATGCACACATGTGTTACGTTAAGATCATAACATGTGGTGATCTAAGTCCTCCGGAAGCTAGACAGACTCAACATATTGTTCCAGCAAAAACTTTAGCATCATTTAGAAAAAAATATAGCAGAAAAAAATTCCTCAACTCAAGAACAACACAGGTACTTCTGTTCAGTGTAACCTTCCTCTCAAGTTTTGGGAAAGATGGAAATAGGCCAGGACTGGAGGGGTGGAGCCCTCACACAGTCAGCTCACAGGTCAGCAGAAGTGACAGGTACTCCAGACTTAAGACCTTGAGGGAAACCAAGGTTCCTCTGTCTCTTCTCTGAAATAATCAAGTTCTTTCTTCCCTTCTCCCTCCTCAATGCAAGGCCGTGCTTCCCCAAACAAGATCTGGGACTCTCGCGCCTACTGAGATGGACAGAGAGCTTCACAGGTGTCAACAGTTTCAAGAACCTTGGCCAGCCTCAGCCAACAGCCAACCAGGCAGGCTGGGCGAGCCCAGAGGTTCCCGGAAACCAGAAACTAGGGCAGAAACACCCAGCAACTCAGTCGCTTTTCTAAAACAGAGCTACCAATAAATATATAAATCACTGTCATGAGCCATAGAAAGGGAAAGCTTTTATAAATTAAAGCATCCAAATATTAAGCCAATATTACTTAGGATTGCATTTATCATTGCTACAGAAAAAAACTGTATGTAAATAAATGTGAATGCATACAAGGTAATTGAGTGTCCTATGTTAATATAAGGGTAGCCCATATTTTTTCTGAAATGAAACGACATTGAAAACGTACCTACCAAAAAAATGTGGTGGGTGTGTGTGTGTGTGTGTGTGTGTGTGTGTGTGTGTGATGTTTATCTAGGTCAACATTAGATTTTTACCCAATATCTGTGTACACCAAGGCCCAGCAGGGCAGGGTGGTTACACAGTGTATGTAGCAAGACAAGCCATAGCCACTGTGAGAATGACTGCCCAAGAGGAAGGAGAGCATTAAATCTCCTTAGACAAGTACCGACAGGTACTGGAAATGCTGTTTCCACAGTGGCCACCCAAGACATTCTCTCCCTAATCCTAACCAAGGAATAAGAAGCAAATTAAAGGCCAGGCACAGTGGCTGACGCCTATAATCCCAGCACTTTGGGAGGCTGAGGTGGGCGTATCGCTTGTGGTCAGGAGTTCAAGACCAGCCTGGCCAACATGGTGAAACCTCATCTCTACTAAAAATACAAAAATCAGCTGGGCATGGTGGCGAGTTCCTGTAATCCCAGCTACTTGGGAGGCTGAGGCAGAAGAATCGCTTGAACCTGGGAGGCAGAGGTTGCAGTGGGCTAAGACTGCACCACTGCACTCCAGCCTGGATGACAGAGTGAGACTCCATCTCAAAAAAAAAAGAAGTAAATTAAACTCAGCACATATCAGTGTTTTGTTGTGGTCATGTGTTCATTTTTTTTTTTTTTTAATCCACAACTGTGAAGGAGGAGGTGATGGCAATGAGCAGAATGCTTTCAAATCAAGTGCTATTTTGCTAAAATCAAATATGTCTTAGCTCAGGCTGCTATAACAAGCTGCCATAGGCTGGGGGCCTTAAACAACACTTGTCTATTTCTCACAATTCTAGAGGCTGGGAAGTCCAAGATCAAGGTGCCAGCAGATCGGGTGTCTGGTGAGGGCTCCCTTCCTGACTGGCACACAGCCACCTTCTGGCTGTGTCCTCACATGGTGGACAGCAGGGAGAGTGAGAAAAAAGCTCTCCTGTCTCTTCTCCTGGAAGCACTAATCCCATTCTCAGGACTCCCCAAGGCCCCTCCTCCTAAAACCATAACATAAGGGGTTCAAATTTCAACATATGCATTTTTGGGGGTGACACACACATTCAGATCATAACAAGTACTTCAAAATATATTATCAGGCCTACAATCTTCACTAGATAGTCAAATTTTACTGGAAATAGATATCTTCAGAGAAAATGCATAATTATCAGGATCCTAGACACTTAATAGAGCATGGATAAAATAATGCAGATAAAAGTTAGTGAATCCAAAAAGAGTTCTTAAAAAGCTAAGTAAAAGGCGACTCATCCAGAGTTTGACAGACATGGTTGGCATCTGAAGAAATTTTAGGAAAAAAAAATAGTTCACAACTACACAAGACACAGCCTATTACAAAGCTCTCTTCCTGGCAAAGACACACTATTCAATACCACTCACTATAACAACATATAATTTTTATTTAGTCTCATACAAGTCTGCTATTGTGTTAACAAGTCTAAGTTCACACAACATTTTCTAGAGAAGGACTACATTATTCAACAGCCATAGAAAAGTCCCAGTGTTTATTCTTACCTCAGATATCTATTTTCTTGTTTATGTTTTAATCATGGGCATTCAAGGTGGTGAAAAATCATCCTTTAGCAAGAGAAGAGTTAGCCCAGGAAGTCATCCCCATCCATGTCACCCATCAAGGCCTAAGTGACGAACGGTTACAGAGACTGACCTAACCTCACCTCAGTAGATATAGGCAGGCTCCTTAAGCCCAAGGTAGCAAATAAAAAGATCGCAGTAAGAATGCACCTTCTGACTGTGGTAGTTCCTTAGAGCGGTGAAGAAAAGCACCCAAAACAAGAATTAACCATCCCCACAAAGAACTCTCTTTCTGGATATCAAAAGAGCCACAGTTCAAGTTCAAAGAGAAACACTCTAGCAACTTCTGAAAGCAGGAACTGTATGCAACTGAATGACCTCATCCGGCACAGAAGCCAGAGCAAACAATGAAAAACAAACCGTACCAACTCTGGTACCAGTTACTGACCTTCCAGACCAAGAGAACGTGCTGGCAGCACTGGTGAAATGTACTTGTCTGTACAAAAATCAGCTCCTCTACTTGTAAGCAAATATGCACGCAGACTCTCCAGCCCTGGGTGGGTACCAGGTTGCAACACTCACACAACCTGACTGCAGGAAGCATGCGTGAGTCAACCTCCAATTGGAGGAGGACAAGTTCTCGCACTTCTTAGAGCATCACCACAACACCTACAGCATGGAGGCCTGAGACCAATCAGAATGGCCCTCCTGAGGCTGGGATTCATGGCATCACAGCCCACTTTATAAAATGTGCTAAGAATTTTCTATGGGGAAGGGTTATGTTTAACATGGCGGAAGACAGGTGCGGTGGTGTGCACCCGTGGTCCTAGCTACTCCAGAGGATCGCTTGTACCCAGGAGTTTGAGGCTGTAGTGCACTATGATCACATCTGTGAAGAGCCACTGCATTTCAACCTGGGTAACACAGAGACCCCATCTCTTCAAAAAAAAAAAAAAATTTATATATATATATATATATATTAGAGTGTGTGTGTATATATGTTATGTATAGGTGTATGTAGATATACATATATATTAGATTGGAAAAAAACGACAAGCAGAAGGGACTTGAGTTCCAGTCCCAACTCTGCCCAACTATATCTGTATGATCTCTGGGCTGAAGGATCCTCCCCTCTAAAACAAGGAGTTTCCTTCCAGTTCTAGATTGTTATTACTATATTATTAGGAAATAGCAAATATATACCAAAGCAGCAAGAGTGGAATTACCATTGCAGAGGCACATATAGACGCCCACTTGGTGACATCTGGCCCACAAGTACATTTCAACTCCTGCACCAAGCCCAGTGCATGGCAGACACCAGCTACCTCCCAGTGCCGCAGCCCTGCTCAGTCAGTGCACTGTGGAGAGAAACAGGCTTGGTGGAAAGCTCTGAAAACTGTCTGCTATGGTTTCACTCTGTCCCCCAAAGTTCATGTTGAAACTTAATCCTCAATGCAACAGTGATGAGGCCATAAGGGCTCCACCTCATGAATGGATTAATGCTGTTAATGTGGAAGTGGGATATAAAATGGAAGACTTCGGCCCCCTTCCTCTTTTGCCCTTCCACCTTCCACCATGGGATGATGCAGCAAGAAGGCCCTCACCAGATGCAGGCCCTCGACCTTGGACTTCCCAGTCTCCAGAACTATAAGAAACACATTTTTGGCTGGGTGTGGTGGTTCACACCTGTAATCCCAGCACTTTGGGAGGCCAAGGCAGGAGGATCACTTGAGGTCAGGAGCTCAAGATCAGCCTAGACAACCAACATGGTGAAACCCCATCTCTATTAAAAATACAAAAAAAAAAAAAAAAAATTAGCAGGACATGGTGGAATATGCCTGTAGTCCCGGCTACTTGGGAGGCAGAGGCAGGAGAATCACATGGACCCCAGAGGCAGAGGTTGCAGTAAGCTGCATCACCCCACTGCACTCCAGCCTGGGCAACTCCATCTCAAAATAAATAAATAAGTAAATAAGTTTCTTTTCTTTGTAAATTACCCAGTCTGTGGTATTCCACTACGGCAGCATAGAACAGACTACAACAGCATCTATAAACAATGCTGTTTGACTCACACTTGATTCACTTGGATTCCTTCCAAATGATCATTGTGGATACATGATATAAAAACAAACAAACAAAAAAAAAAAACCACCCTAGGGCCCAGGAGTTTATCTGCTCTTTCTCTCATAATCTACCCTTCCCATGACACAGGGAATATTTTGGTGCTCTCAACATGAAATGCCACAAGACCAGGGTAGACACTTAAGGGTTCAGCTTCCAAGCTCTGCTTATAAAAAATGCAAAATCTCAGTTCAGTAAGAACAGGGTTTAGTACAATACACAAACACTACTGAATATGCATGCCACCCTGAGAAAAAATCTTGAATTAGTATGTAATAAATAGATAACAAGGTGATATTCCTCAGGCATCCTGACACAGTTATTCCCAACTGAATCTGTAAGAGTGAACTGTTACTCTTTACATTCTGTACCCTGAGACATCACAATATGTATGCACGGTGGATATAATCTATCCAATATCTCAAAACTGAACCCTAGTTTTGTTGTTGTTTTAACCTACACATTATTAACAAGGATCTTCAGTAGGACATTTTGCAAACCAGTACAAATGTGCCCTGGGCAAACAGCATTTGGGAAACACTGCTCCCACATACACTTGCAGAGTTCCTGCCAATCAGGAGCTTCCACCGTCACCCAAGTGTCAGAACAAAGCCCATGTGGCTGATCACAACTGTCCACCTCTTGGCAGCCCATCAGACTAGCAGGCCAGACATACTGTTTTTATCCAATGGACCACAATTGGCCAAGAGACGAGACTGAGAAAAGGCTTAGCACACAGACCTCTCACAGATTATTAGTACATTTCAGTCAACTCCTAGAAAAAGAATTACGAAATTATACTGTTAGTATGAAGGGTAGGAAATAAAATTACTTGATTTTTTAATAACATTACATTCACACTTTTCCCCAAAGCATCTCCACCCCCAACACAAGTCATATATGGCCCTATAAATTCTGTATGAAGATGGTGAAATCTCTTCGTAATTCGTGTATAATTGGCCACAGCTAGCAAATAACAGGATGATTGAATCCAGGCCTGTTTTATTCCAAAAATCATATTACCCTAGGGTACAGTGTGCCCCATCGGAGAACACACCAGGAAAAGAAATATGACCTCCTTTATTAACAGTCTTTCATACTGACCTTTAATGAAAACACTGACTTTACCGACCATTGGGAAAGTAGCTCATAAAACTAAGTTATCTGTATGAGTCAATAATAAGCACTAAAGGGGTTAAGCTTCTTGCACTGAATAAAGCAGGTGGCATATTTTTTAGAATTTCTAGTTTAAGTAGCTTGTACTTCCCTGTACTGGGGATCACACGCTAAAGAAGCTTTTTGTTTTTTTGTTTTTTTTTTGAGATGGCGTCTCGCTCTATCGCCCAGGCTGGAGTGTAGTGGTGCACTCTTGGCTCACTGCAGCCTCCACCTCCCAGGTTCAAGCGATTCTCCTGCCTCAGCCTCCTGAGTAACTAGGATTACAAGAGCGTGCCACCACACCAGCTAATTTTTGTATTTTTAGTAGAGAAGGCATTTCACCATGTTGGCCAGGCTGGTCTCGAATTCCTGACCTCAAGAGATCTGCCCGCCTCAACCTCTGAGAGTGCTGGGATTACAGGTATGAGACACTGCGCCCGGCCAAGAAGCTTTTCAATGGAGAGCAATACAAACACAGTCAAGAAAAAGCACTGTGTGATGGCCTGGACACCAAGGGAATACCACACACGTCACAAAGGAGCTCAGGCAGGCACAGGGGCCAGGGAAACCTAACATCTAAAAGATCTTTAGGGTACAGCTTCCAAACTTTTCTAACAGCAACTGACAACCAGAAAAACATTTTACATCACAATGCAGACAGACACATGTGTGCACGGGCTCACAAAACAATACAAATACCCCATATGGGCACACATTTCCTAATCTACTTTACGTTTTAAAATGCGGGCTGTGACCCTCAGTATAAAAACACTGAGTCAGATCCAGCAAGGGATGAAAGAATAAGCCATGTGGTCTATCCATACAACACAGATATTAGGCATTTTTCAGCCTTAAAAAGGAAGGAAATTGTCATACATGCTACCACATAGACAGGTCTTGAAGACATCACGCTAAGCGAAATAAGCCAGTCACAAAAAGACAAGTACTGTACGATTCCATTTATATGAGCTCCCTAGAAGAGTCAAACTCACAGAAAGTAGAATGCTGCTTCCCAGGGGCTGGGAGAAGGGAATGGGGAGGAATTGTATTATGGTTACCGAGTTTTGGTTTGGGATGATGAAAAAGTTCTGGAGATGGATGGTGGAGATGGTTGCACGGCAGTGTGGTTAAAATGGTTTACCTCGTTGTGTATATTTCACCACGATTTTTTAAAAAGCCACTGAGTTGGCCACGTGCAGTGGCTCACGCCTGCAATCCCAGCACTTTGGGAGGCCGAGGCGGGTGGATCACGAGGTCAGGAGTTCGAGACCAGCCTGGCAAACATGGTGAAACCCCGTCTCTACTGAAAATTCAAAAATTAGCTGGGCGTGGTGGTGGGCACCTGTCATCCCAGCTATTCAGAAGTCTGAGGTAGGCGAATCATTTGAACCCGGGAGGCGGAGGCTGCAGTGAGGGAAGATCACGCAATTGCACTCCAGCCTAGGCAACAGTGCAAGACTACATCTCAAAAACAACAACAACAACAACAACAAAAAGCCACTGAGTTAGAAAGCAGTGAACAGTGGGAAAACTCTCACAAAATTATGGCTTTCTGTACTATGTGATATTAGTAAAACTGGCACAATTGGAACCAAACATTTACAGTAGTATTCTGTGGCATTAGAATTCTAACAGTGCAAACACATCTTTGTACTTTATTTTTTTCTATCTATAAAACAGGAATAAGGCTACTTACTACAAAATGAAAGAAGATTGCAAGTCCCAAAAACCGTTTTATTAGAAAAGTTGAGAATACCAATGAAAACCTAGTTAAGAACAGAAATGATTAGATCCCTGAATAGAGAAGGGGTATTTTAGATTAAATCTTCCCAGAGTATTTGGGATCAGTAATGTGTTGCCTCTATTAAACACGACGAAAAAACAGCAACACTGATTACAAGCAGAATGGAAAAAATACATAATAATGCATGGCTTTTTTGATCAATAATTGTTTCTTCATATTGTCAATGTATGCTTACAAAGAAGTTTCTCTATTCAAATGCTTCCATTCACTGACAGAACACTGCTTATGATGAAATCTTACAGAAAACATGCATGCCTTTTATGGCTGGATATGCCTCCTTGCCTCACAGGGCCCAACTGAGACAATATTCTAATTGCGTATTCTCGATGTGTACTTACAAAGGTGTTTCTCTGTCAAATCCTTCCATTCTCTGACAGAAAACAGTTTATGATACATCTTAAAGAAAGCATGCTCATATTTGCATTCTATTGCTGGATTTTTCTGCTTGGCCTCATGGGGCCCAATGGAGAAAGAATCATGTTCTAATAACGTATTCTCGATGTGTGCTTACCAAGGTGTTTCTCTGTCAAACTCTTCCGTTCACGGAAAGAAAACAGCTTCACGTGAATCTTTAAAAAAGCGAGCTTACGTTTGCCTTTTACAGCTACGTATATAAACTTGCATAGTACGAAGAAATAAAAAAAAATGTTCTAGTCTTAAAAATTGTTTCTTTTTAAAAACTGTATTTCCGAAGGTATACAGATCAATATCAGAGTGTTAGCCCCTGATTTTCAGGTTGAGATCCTGGGATTTCAGCTCCCAAGATGGCAGGAGAGGCCTTGTTCTCTAACGCTAATCTCAGCTCATTTCCAAGTGCCAAGCCTTGAAACTCAGATCTGTAAACCTCTGCTTATAACGTAACAACACAGGTCCACATTAATAACCATGATGAAGCAGGCCCAATGTTTTTAACCCCCAATGTGAACAAAAGTATTTACTTATAATCTAGTTTTCTGTGCATTCTCTAATACTGAAGTCGTTTCTCTTTAAGATAAACATTTTAGGACAGTTAATATTTCTGTAACTGCAGCCAGCCAGGAAATACATTGAGTTACACGAAGTTTTTTATTAAAGGTGGTATGGCTAATGCCACCTAAAAATGGCTCCCTTCCCCCAGTTCTTCCCAGTGGAACTTAGTCCTAAAGCTGACACCCATTTTCATGTTTAAATAAGAGCTTCACAGGGCTCTCAACCTCCACATCCAGAGCCAGGGCGTGCGGGTACAAAGCTTTCTTTCCATTTGGAAAAGTTCATTAAATGAAATGGTAACGAACTCCGCTTCCAAGCAGAATGAGCAACTACGCTAACATTTCTGTTAACTGCAAGCAGGTGCCAGCCTCCCTAATGACAGGAAGTTCCCTGAGGGCGAATATCCTGCACTTATCTGTGCCCTGGATGCTGGATCCTTCATTTGGAGTTGAACAAACATCAGTTGAATTAATACATTCCATAAACTCAATCCAGTCTCACTCATCTGTCTTCACTCTGCCAAACCTCTTTGAGTAATTTCCTCAACGTTAGAAATATAGTGAAGAAAAGTCTAGAATAAACAAGTTGCTTCCCTATCACGGAGGCACATTTCCTTCGGAGATTCTGAAATAACACTACTGGCTTATAAATATGACAAGCCTTCACTGGGGAAAAAAAAGAGATCCATCAGACTTGCCGAGAGAGGGGACCTTGCCAAATTGCTCACTTTCTGGTCCTGTTTATAGAGTGAGTGATAGCAGTCTTCATTTGCGACATATTTTCCGGAGTCCGGAAGCAGCTACTGGCCATTCAGAAGGCAAGAAGACCTCACCAACTGCACCCTCGGTCACAAGAAAGAATTATTTACTTGGGAATTCCTGTTCAGCAAAAGAAAAACAGAACTATTTAAGAAGAGATTAGAACAAGGAAGAATGGGGCAGAAGAGAAGTATGCATACCATTCCTGGCAAATCATTGTTGGGAACAAACAATGACGATCAAATTTTAATCTAAAGAATGCCGCAAGTTAGCTCACCTGTGGTTTATCACTACCCCAAGTACTGATTACTCAATCAGGGTCTCCAAAAAGTATAGCATGTTTTCGTTCAAACGCAAGCTAAAAATGACAGCCTTGTTCACACATTGTAAGACTTTACCTAAATTATAACGAAGAGAAAAAAAAGCTACACTCCTTTTCTATTAATATATACAAGCCTCTCAGGAAAATTCCCGGTGACAAACACCTAGAAAAAACCCATTCGTTGTATGAAGCACTCGGCTCAAGTCCATAAATTGATTTTCTAAGATGTTATCTTAATTTGCTTCTGAAATAATTACCAATTTGACATACCAATTGTGAAAATTAATTTTTTTAAATGTAAGCTTCTCCAAAGAAGGGTCGGCCAGCTAAGCATCATTTGGAAACACCCATACCAATTAGTAGAATTCCTTGAACAGAGGAAGGCACTAAGTCAATGAATGAAAACAAACTAAACTCTTTTGGAAACAGCAATGCTGAAGAAACCGTATATTCAATCTTCAGAAGCCAGTTACCCGGTTGCTGTAAAGCAGTGCATATCTAAACCCTCTATTGCAAAGTAACCAAAATCTCACAATTAGAATAAACAGAGGAAACCAGTGAGAGGGTCATCTCAAAACCGTTCCTACCTCTCTACCTGGCTGGTAACTGCCCTAAAATTGCAACCCTGGGCTTTATCAAGCAAAGAAATGGAAATTCTACTTAAGCAAATCCAGAAATTTCTGTTAGTTGCATTACCCAAGTAAAAGCACACAAGGGCAACAGAATTTCAAAACCAAGTTTGTTACTCAATACCCCATATTAGGAGATAAGAGGAGGATAAAACTGTTCTGTCATTCACTAGTTCCTTCCAAAAAAGATTTGGAGTGTGTTAAAAGTCATACATGTCTCATGCCTGTAATCCCAGCATTTGGGAGGCTGAGGACAGATCACTTGAGGTCAGGAGTTCGAGACCAGCCTGGCCAATACGGTGAAACCCCATCTCTACTAAAAATACAAAAATTAGCCAAGCATGATGGCAGGCACCTGCAGTCCCAGATACTTGGGAGGCTGAGGCAGAAGAATTGCTTGAACCCAGGAAGCAGAAGTTGCAGTGAGCTGAGATCATGCCATTACACTCCAGCATGTGTTACAGCAAGACTTCATTTCAAAAAAAAAAAAAAAGTCATACATTCAACTAGGTAAATAAAATAACATTAGAAAGCCAGGCTGGGTGCGGTGGCTCAAGCCTGTAATCCCAGCACTTTGGGAGGCCCAGGTGGGTGGATCATGAGGTCAGGAGATCAAGACCATCCTGGCTAATATGGTGAAACCCTGTCTCTACTAAAAATCCAAAAAAATTAGCTGGGCATGGTGGTGGGTGCCTGTAGCCCCAGCTACTTGGGAGGCTGAGACAGGAGAATGGCGTGAACCCAGGAGGTGGAGCTTGCAGTGAGCCGAGATCATGCCACTGCACTCCAGCCTGCACGACAGAGCAAGACTCCGTGCCAAAAAAAAAAGTAAGTAAGTCAAGGCCACCCTACAAAAGAAACAGCAAGTGGTACACACAAGGGCTAATATAATTTCCAGATCTCTGTATTAAGTGTGGTTTTGAGTTTCCTGGGGGCCAGGACCAAAAATAAAAAGGTACATACTATACATTCTTAGAAAAAAAAATAAGTATCCATCTTCTCAAGGAAAAGAAAAAATATCATGGTATGATTGTCTAAAAGAAGTTTTCCACATGGAATGTTACACAAGGAACAGCGCACTACAGCATGGACAAAAGCCTTTATTCATTCATGCCAAATAAAAGCATACTGAACACATAGCTGTGTTTTATTAAAAAAAAAAAACTGTTAAAGGCCAAAGACATAGGATTATGCCTAGCCTTTAATTCACTGCTCTTTAAATCATTTTAATTCACTGAAAGAAAATGCTAGCAGGATCCTCACACTTGGCCTCCCAGGATCCTAACTTCATACCAAGATGGAACGTAATGTATTCTGCAGAACGTTCTTCCCAGAGATCATTTCCTTCTGTTGGCTTATTGAGAGCACAGTGATTAAAACCTCCAGAACTCTTACTCTGTTGCTTTGGTAAGTTCAATAAGCAATCTCACCTGGCTGAATGCACCTGAAGTTACAGCAAATCAGAGCAAGAACTAAAGCAAGTCTCTGCTGCTGGAAACAGCAGATACAAAACCCAAAGTCTATGAAATGTAGGTTCTAGCGGCCGGGCCAGGGGAGGAGGAGGACAGGCAATTTGCAAATGAGCACGCACATATCTGCAATCGGTCTGGTGCAGTGCTCGGAAGAAAAATAACAAGAGCTGAGTAAGAGAGCGTTGCGCGTCAGATGTCGCATTTATAAAGGGTGGCCCGGAGGCCTCTGCAGCACATTTGGCCCAAGTTTTCCTGACAGGGATCTGGAGAAACACAGAGGCCCTGGGCAAGCACCTGAATCGCTGCTTAGGGAAAACAGCAAAGAGGCCAATGTGGCTGCGGTAGGGTGCCACGAGGGAAGCGGCTGGAACCCGGGTCAGGCTCAGCCTCAGATGCATTCCACAACTCAAGAAGCAGTTGATTCAAGTGTCAGAGTTCCAGGCCACCAAATGCAGTGGAAAAATTAACTGGCCTGAAAGACGTTCGTTCAGAGCCATCCCTGCCACAGCCTCATCCAGCCATCAGGATGTTCCCAGCAGACATCTAATTCTGGCTGCCATCACCGGCAGGTGTCCACACCAGGAGCAGTTTTAAAATCAATGCCCAGCCAGGCGCGGTGGCTCATACTTGTACTCCCAGCTCTTTGGAAGGTCAAGGCAGGATGACTGTTTGAGGTCAAGAGTTGGAGAACAGCCTGGGCACCATAGCAAGACCCTGTTTCTACAAAAACATAGTAAAACTCAAGTGAGCGTGGTGGTGCACACCCACGGTCCCAGCTACTCGGGAGGCTGGGGTGGGAGGATCACTTGAGTCCAGGAGTCCAGGGCTGCAGTGAACTGTGGTCACATCACATCACTGTACTCCAGACTGGGTAACAGAGCAAGACCATGTCTCAAAAAAATAAAATAAATATAAATAAAATCAATGCCCATTTATCATAAGGAGACAGCTGTACAGAATTTGGTATTGTTTAAAATTGTATAGGATGCTTGCCCAAGTTGACAGTTTCAACTTTGGCATATTGTTGACACATTCTTTGTGACAAAAGTTGACACTCCCAGTTATGGCACATAAGAATAAAACCCTGTCTTCAACCATAGAGAATAGCAGCAGCAGCCTGTTTGCCATGGGTTACCAAAGGGATCCAAGGTTGCTAGGATACTTCAGTTTCAAATATCCTTCTTTGCTATCCCCGTAAATATACACTAAGTTTTCAAACAATTCACTCTAATCCTGATTAGATAATAAACTGTGACCACACCTCTGGGAGATAAATAATGGTCTTTCTAAAAACAGTACCAGAGCATCGAAGTGTAAGTTATTGCAACCACATACCCATGTTTGTTTTTGTTTTTTCTTTTCTTTTTTTTTTTTTTTTTTTGAGACAGAGTCTCACTCTGTTGCCCAGGCTGGAGTGCAGTGGCACAATCTCTGCTCACGGCAACCTCCGCCTCCTGGATTCAAGCAATTCTCCTGCCTCAGCCTCCCGAGTAGCTGGGACTAACAGGCGCCTGCCACCACACCCGGCTAATTTTTTGTATTTTTAGTAGAGACAGGGTTTCACCATGTTAACCAGGATGGTCTCGATCTCCTGACCTTGTGATCTGCCCCCCTCGGCCTCCCAAAGAGCTGGGATTACAGGCGTGAGCCACCACACCCAGCCTACCCACATGTTTTAACGTTGTACTGAGTACTTATTCCATGGAGGCACACTACTCTTACACCAACTTTATTACTGTATAACTCTATGAAGGAGGCACTATTATTTTATTGATAAGAAAGACGAAACTCGCCGGGCATGGTGGCTTACGCCTATAATCCCAGCACTTTGGGAGGCCAAGGCACGTGAACCACCTGAGGTCAGGAGTTCGAGATCGGCCTGGCCAACATGGCAAAACCCCATCTCTACTAAAAATACAAAAATTAGCCGGGCAGAGTGGCGTGCCCCTATAATCCCAGCTACTTGGGAGGCTAAGGCAGGAGAATTGCTTGAACCCAGCGGGGTGGAGGCTGCAGTAAGCGGAGATCGCGCCACTGCACTCCAGCCTGGGCAAAACAGTGAGACTCTGTCTCAAAAAAAAAAAAAAAAAAGAAAAGAAAGAAAGAAAGCCAAAGCTGGTAAACGGCAGACCTGGAAGGTGGGCCCGGCAGTCTCATTCCAGAGCCTGATAAATCATACTATTACTATTTCTCCAACTAAAGAAACCAGAAGGAGGAAAATTCTTCATCTGGCAGAAGTTACCCAGGGAGAGAGAAGAGGACATATCCCTTCTGCTTGGCTAACAGGACAGCCTGTGTCTTATTTGAGAGTCAGGGCCCTCGCGGGGCAGAGTCGGAGATGAAGATACTGCAGGGAAAGTAGCTGCTGCTGCACCTTAGTGACAGATGACATGAAGCGCAGGACCGCAGCACAGACCACAGAACTCTGAAAACAGGACCCAAGCTCACCTTAGCGGGAAGTCACCACCCACTCACCTCCGCCCTTCTAGAGCTGAGTATTCTTTCACCTGTGGAAGTCACAAGCATGTGGCGTGGCTCTCCATTTTTAATTTTTTTAAAAAGTGGTCGCGGAAGTTGTGGCCAGACACATCACCCCACCCCAGTCCTAAAGGTAAGGTGGGTGGGGACGGAGGAAGAAGAAGAGGCTGGGCCTAACTAATCTGGGCACGTCCTTGCCAACACCTGCTGCTATGAAGGAGGGGGAAAAGTTGACAGTGGAAGGAAACTACAGGGAAAAAGGAAAAGAAACCACTGGACAAGGCCACAAGTTCGTCCATTCACCGGAAGAATCTTCTATAGGCGAACCCTGTTGAGCGCTCTCCTAGACCCAAGGCCACCCCTCAGGATCCAGGGCCTGGGACACAATACAAAGTACAAAACGACACTCTCCCCGAAAGGGACTCGTGGTCACCGTTGTTCATAGGAGTGTTTCATGGCAAGTCTTAGGAAAGAGGGTTTTGAGTTCAGGAAGTGTGGGACTAAAATGACACCAACACAGAAATAAACACTGCCTTTCAGTAGGAGTTCCTAGCTACTCCGGCAGATCCAGATGCTGAGACATACTGGGTCCGAAAGAAAGACTGATGGAGGGACCAAGCAAGACAGGCCCTCCTGATGCCCAGCCCTGAGGCTGCCACCTAAATAAGCAGCAACACTCTGGGTCTGATCTGGGTAGCTCGTTGGTGTCTCAGCTGAGTAGCAGCAATGACTCAGGAAGAAGCACTTAAGCCCTATAGGACCCTAAAGAGACACAAAGATGAGGATGCCAAGGGTCCCTGTCCTCAGAGTTGCCAACCAGATATGGAAAAACGCAGTGTATAACCAAGTGACCAGGGGAAAACCCCAAGGTGGAAAAGGACCTCCGAGGTCCAGCTGCCGATGAGAATTATGCTTTCGCACCCCATGGCCCTCGGCACTCAGAGTCTTTCGCTCCATTTTCACCATAAACAAAAAAGTCTCAAAACATGACAACAGCCTGTAAGATGCTGTGATCCAAATAAAATAGTTGGTGCAGAAATTCAAGGAAGTGCATCAACTCCTCCCAAAAGGGATGGAGAAACCACACCAAAAGAAAACCAGGAACACACGTGCAGTGCTCTCCCTACAATTATAAACAGCTCCAAGATACGGACCCTGTGAGGCAGGAGAATAGGGGCTGGAGGCAGGGAACCTAAGGCCGATTCACACTGACTTCCTAGAACTAAATCAAAAGGATAACCCCAACTTTCCACACCTATGTAACAAAAGGACCGGAGGCCACTCCCCTTGCAACCCCCACCTTTTCTGCATGGCAGGTGAAACTGAAAGGACCTCTGCTTGGTCCCCTCTTCCAACCAATCAGGCTGGTCACAGGCCAAGTCTTCATTTGCACAGGAGTATAACTTTGTAACTTCACTTCAGCCTGTAATTGGTTGCTTCCTGCAACCAATCAGATGTTGGCACAGGGTGTAACTTTGTAACTTCGCTTCAGCCTCTGATTGCTCCCCTCTTGCTGATTCAAATAACCAATCAGACCAATAGTGAGCCATTAGTTCATTTACACAAGGTGTACACCAAGTAACCAAAGGGACACCTCTAGAGGGTATTTAAACCCAAGAAAATTCTGTAACCGGGCTCTTGAGCCCCTATGCCCAGCCCGCTCCCACCCTGTAGAGTGTACTTTTGTTTTCAATAAATTTCTGCTTTTGTTGCTTCATTCTTTCCTTGCTTTGTTTGTGCGTTTTGTCCAATTCTTTGTTCAAAATGCCAAGAACCTGGACACCCTCCACTAGTAACACCTGGACCCCACCTCAGCCCCCTCCACTCTCGCAAGCCCCATCTTCCCGGCAGTCAACTAAGAATCAGACTTTCCCAGCCCCTGTCAACCAGGCTGATGAGTAGAAGACCAAGAATCCTCTCCCTCCTCTCTTCCTCTTCCCTCTCTCACCAGTCCCTGCCACCAAGCCTTTAGGTGAAGCCACGGACCCTGGGGGGCGCCAGGAAAAGCAAGTACAGTCTCTCGAGCACTCCAGCCAATTACAGAGGTGCAATTACAGATGCTGCATGTGCAGCTGCCCTGAGGTTTACAGAATTAGCTTATCAATGACAAAACAGACGGCCATCTAAAACACACACTGGGAGAAAAGAGCTCTGAAAAGTGTGGCGCAGAACGTTCTTTGGAATTCAAATAACAAGTACACAAAGAGAGGCAGCCAAGCTCCGCCCATGAGACAGGTAAACCATGGACTCACCACAGAACCTTGTGTGGTCAAATCTTTGGTCAGGATCTTCACTCATACACATAACAAATACTTCTCTGCAACCAAGTACTCGTGAGTAGGGTGACCATATTAATTGTCGACCACAGCAGTCATTGCTGAGTAAGGAGGAAGCCTCTGTTACTAATTACACCTGGACCAGGCTCGTCCCAAACCAAACAGGAAATGCACTCTCCCTGCATACAAGGCACCCTCAGGGGGTTCTCCTGCCACTAACTGCTGACCCTGGATCCCTCTTGCTTGGGCGTGCAGGGGTGCTCCCAGCCAGCAATCAGCTCCTGCATAAACAGGAACCCAGCAAGCAACAAAATACCTGGGCAAGGGCACTGAGTCCGCATCACTGTCAACTCCTGGTTACTGGTGACCTCCTGACCCGAATTCCTCATGTGCTAGTTCAATTCCTGACCTTCAGCCTCACTCTCACTTCTACAACTCACATCCTCCTTATCCTCCTCCATCCCAGGCCACTGAAAACCCACCTTCTCTTCAGAACACTGCTTTGCTTTTAAGAATCCTACCTGTAGCAAAGAACGTCTCTGTGGTAGATTTAAAAATAAAAGAAAAAAATATATGAGATGAGAATCCTGCCTGCCCATAGACTTGAAGCCTCTGCTCACCTTGGCCATGGCTATGGACTGAATATTTTTTCCTCCTCCACCATAAATTCATATTATTTAAGCCCTAATCCCAACGTGATGATATTTGGAAGTGGGGCTTAGGGGAAGTAATTAAGTCATAGAAGTGGAGCCCTCATGAATGGGATTAGTGCCCTTAGAAAAAGAGACACCAGGCAGATGATCTCCCTCTCCACCATGTGGGGATACAGCAAAAAGGTGGCCTTCTACAAAACACGAAGGGAGCCCTCACCAGACACCAAATCTGCCAGCATCTTTGATCTTGGAGTTCCCAACCTCCAGAACTGTGAGAAATAAATGCTGTTTAAGCCACCCCGTCTGTGGTATTTGTTACAGCAGCCCAAATGGATGAAGACAGCCATACCTTTGAGCCCAGGGTCGCTCCTCCACTCTCCAATTAGATCCCAGAGCTCCAGTATGGACCCTCTACCCCCACCAGGTTCCTAACCTGTCTCTGTATTCTACCACTGCTTATCAAACTAGGCTACATTTCAGGTGGAGAAGGCCCAAGAGGATGATATAGGTGAAACATTCACCCCAATCCTGGGACAAACTCTCTCTCATTGAGTCCTATGAGAATGGAATAGTCTCGCCCATCAGGTGAGAGTGTAAACAATCACGTATGACATCACATCACAACACCACCTTGGGGGAGCAGACACTAACCTCTGTTCACACCTGTGTACAGGCACTGTGCCAGGTGCTTTTCCTGCCTGATAATAGTCACACTGCAGAGATGAGAAAACTTGAACTCACCAAGATAAAAGCACTTACGACATGCCACCTAGGTCTATCTAGCAAAAAGTTCATCGTCCTTCTAATGCGCCAGTGTCGGAACTAATAAATGACAACATACATCTGAAAAAAGCCTGAGGATAATGACAGTGTAAGACACAATGCAGGTACTCATGTATTTATTCTCATGTATTTATGCACAGAAATATATTCTCATATATTTATTTAGAAAGAACTCCCATATTTATCCAATCGCGGGAAGTTGCTTAGCCCTAGAAGTCAAAATGTGGACAACAGACACAGTCGACAAAGATAGTTCTCATACATTTAAATAAATGCCTAGGCTTATTTTCATGGTATGAACAACTATTTTTCATGTTTAATGTTTTTAAGACTTTCCATTAGTATGAATAAGAATTTGTCTTACACAAACATCCAAAAAAAGACAGTTTCTTTAGGATTACATATCTTAAACATTATTTTCTTTTCTGCTATAAAATCGTCACCACAACCCTAGCAACTAGGAAGTTTTGTTTCCTGTCCTTGTTTTTATTCTTTTGTGGTGGCAAGTGCCAGCATGTGGGGTAGGTAGGGTGAGGCAAGGTGGGTGACAGTAAAGGACACTGTGCTCAATTCGAAGCTACGGGAGGAGAGAGCTCTAGTCCTAGATTTGCACCAAGGAGCTTTGAGCTCTCAGTAATTCAGCAACCCTGGGCTGTCATTTCATCTATAAAATCAGAGGGTTAGGTGTTCTCCACAGCCTCCTCCTGCACTCAATCCTATGATAACTGCTGAAAACTCCAGCATGGGACAATTACCAGTGTGACACCCTTGAGAGAAATGGTGGGATGTATATTTAAAAAAGACTATCTAATGACTCACCCATGAGTAAAAAATAATTTACTTCCATTTTAAAATCCATATTAATCGACGTGACGTTAGTAGAGAGAGTGCCTAATGTCTGACAGCGCTTCTGAAGAGGATATAAATAGGCGGTTTTTGAAATTAGTCAGCCATGTGCTCACGTCCACCAAGAAGCACATGCAGGCAACATGCTCCAGGCTGTGCGTGCAAGCTGTTCTGTTTCCAGCACAAATGCAGAAAAGGGGAAAAAAGCAGTCCTGGTAGAGTCAGTCATCACATATTTCAGCTGTAAGTAGGAAACAGGAAGCTCACAAAGAATTGTAATTTAGAAGCATTTAAAACAAAACAAACAAACCTACTCCAGGCACAAATACCAGATAGCTGCAAAGCCAACTGTGGTATTTGATGACAAATTGTTTAAAGTCACCAGTGGGTCAGAGTACAAACCACGCCCACGTGAAAGTCTCCCTGGACGCTACCAGGGTCTACCCATTCTCCCCTCTCTGTAAGCCAGCTTCACACAGGTAAGTGGGTCCCATAAACCCCCGGAGGCACCCACATCTGGCTCTTTGTGGGCAGCGCAAGTAGAGAAAAAGACAGTCAACCAACCGTCCTGAGAAACAGGAGGCTGACACTCAGAAAATCAACATCAAACATCCTCTCCCATGCCACAGGGTGACTTCTCACCTCCACTCCTCCCCACCCATCACCCCACACACGCTGTCTCCCAAAAACACATCTGATCTTTATGAAATCTCAGCTTCAGAGCTCCCCAGGATGTTACTGTTACTGAAGGGGAGTGAAAAGGAGGAAGAAGAGAGAGAAGGAGGGCTCCAAACCCATCCCAAGTTGATTCCTTCATGATGTTTCCAAGAATTTAAAGAATAAGTGGTGAGGCTGGGCGCAGTGACTCACGCCTGTAATCCCAGCACTTTGGGAGGCCAAAGCAGGCAGATCACTTGAGGTCAGGAGTTCGAGACCAGCCTGGTCAACGTGGTGAAACCCCATCCTTACTAAAAATACAAAAATTAGCCGGGTGTGGTGGTGCATGCCGGTGGTCTCAGCTACTTGGGAGGCTGAGGCAGGAGAATCACTTGAGCCCAGGAGGTTGCAGTGAGCCGAGATAACATCACTGCACTACAGCCTAGGTGACACACCGAGACTGTCTCAAAAAAAAAAAAAGAAAAGAAAAAAAAGAGTAAGTGGTGACTTTTTAAAAGAATGGTCAAAGGAATTATTTTTAAAGCTGTAGGTTGGCATAGGACATTTATCAAAAGAAAGAAACTATCAGTTCAAACTTACCTAGACATCTTATAAGAGTCCTGAACCATCTATAATCTGAAAGCTTTTTCAAATACTAGTAAGCCAGGCACAATTACCAATTATTCAAATAACATTTATTATAGCTAGTGATTTCCACTGACTATATCTGCAATAATTAGAGCTGGTAGGTTTTTAAAAATATAGATTTTAAGAGTATATGGAAAGTCCTTGAAAGGCAATGTTTCTGGGCTGTTAGGAATAAGGCATTCCTTTAACACGAAATAATGAATTTTAAACAGTAATAATAATAACAAGGAAGAAATGAATGACTGAATGAATCAGAAGGCAGTACACCATAGGGTGAATAAGAGTACATTCTTGGGGGATGAGGGGCAAGGGGAGGGAAAGCATTAGGACAAATACCAAATGTATGCGGGGCTTAAAACCTAGATGACAGATTGATGGGTGCGCCAAACCACCGTGGCACATGTATACCTATGTAAGAATCCTGCATGTACTGCACATGTAGCCCAGAACATAAAGCAAAATTTAAAAATTTTAAAAATTAAAAAAAAGAAAAGCACATTCTTTGCAGTGAATATATCTCAGTCCTGGGTGATCCTGGGCAAGATATTCAATGTCTCTATGCCTCAACATCCTCCTCAGAAAATAAAACCAATTACAGTCCTAAATCACAGGGTTGTCATG
Source organism: Homo sapiens (assembly GCF_000001405.40). Classification (NCBI taxonomy): domain Eukaryota; kingdom Metazoa; phylum Chordata; class Mammalia; order Primates; family Hominidae; genus Homo; species Homo sapiens. The sequence continues at coordinate 14,589,976 of NC_000010.11, forward strand.
AGGATCCAAAAATGATGCATGTAAGAAGCATTTAACATGTTCAAAAGAAACACTTAACGTACTAATGGTCCTTATTCCAGGATGAGTTTTGGTTCCAACTCTACAAATCATTAGCTGTGTGGTCTTGGGCAAGCAATTTAACACATCTAAGCGTTGGTTTATTCACCAAAAATGAAGAATCTTGATTAGATGACCTCTTCATTTCTATGGCTTCTCCAAGCTCAAGACCTCTCTGACAACAGAAGCAACATTTATGATTTCAAACTCTTCCACGTTTCTAGTTTTCACATCTTTCTTTTAGGACTTATTGGTCACAGCCATGATTTATATGAAATCAAGTGTTTGGTCAACAGCACGACTCCTCAGAATGAGACTGTGACTATGGGAATCCTAGAACCTACTTTATAATGATCCTTTTAACAAATAGGTTTCAAACAACACATTGTGGCAAAAGACAGGCTTGCCCATGATAGTTAGAATCAATATATTTCCATTCTGGTAGCCTTCAAGTATGGAAGTTGTCCCAAAATCAAACTGCGGATGTAGTATGTCACCGTGCAGCCTGGTGCTGATGGAGCATATGTAAATTAAATTCATTCGCTACGATCATGCTTCTTCCAAAGGAACTCTCAATTTCTTCCTAACAGAAACAATTCAAGTATCTACCCTCTCCAAACACTCTTAACAATGAAGTTGAGAGGTGCCATTAAGAGATCCATTTCTCAGCCAGGCGTAGTGGCTCATGCCTGTAATCCCAGCACTTTGGGAGGGTGAGGCAGGCGGATCACCCAAGGTCAGAAATTCGAGACCAGCCTGACCAACATGGAGAAACCCTGTCTCTACTAAAAAAAAAAAAACACAAAATTAGATGGGTGTGGTAGCACGTGCCTGTAATCCCAGCTACTTGAGAGGCTGAGGCAGGAGAATCACATGAATCCAGGAGGCGGAGGTTGCAGTGAGCCGAGATCGTTCCACTGCACTCCAGCCTGGGCAACAAGAGCAAAACTCCATCTCAAAAAAAAAAAAAAAAAAAAAAGATCCATTTCTTCCGTATGTTTGCAGAAGAAAACACAAAACTATTTCAGATGTATCATTCTCCTCTAGTTATCTTAAACTCATCAATGACTGATCTTTTATAAGAAAAGACTGAGCATGAATGTCTCCTTACAAGTCAGAAAATTTAAAATGACAATTGAAAAAGATACTCTCTATCATGGTCTGCACCATCACGGGGAATTCTACCTCCTAAACCTAGGTCATTCTCTCCTAACTTAGGTGAACAGGCACCCAAGTTACATAAAAAAGAGAGTTAGCACATATGCACAGAATTTAATATTGCTGCAACTCAAGACTTAAATAACAAAATTAACCTGACAGGGTAACATCCACAGAAGACCGTGCAAACGGTAATTAACTTTAATAACAGGAGGCGCTCACAGTAACTGCAAGAGCCAAGCCAATCTTTGCTTTTTTCTGTGAATTCTGTAGATGCCCCTAAGCTGTATCAATGTTGTCAGTTTTCCCCGATACCCTGGTCAGTTTAAATCTCATCTCATGCTCACTGCCATCTCATTAAGAGAGAAGAATCAACAATCTCTAATGAAATAATTAATTCAAACAACAGTCATCGATGAATGCTAACGGCATTGGGAGAAAGATCGATGAGGAAATGAAAGGGTCAAGCTGCCACCCACCACAGGACCCCAACGCTCAGTTTTAGAATCACTACACGTGAGACAGTCAGACCTTTTCCTAAGCTGAGGCAACGTTAAGCCAGATGATACCAACAAATTAATCCTGCCAAAAACACTGCACATGAATCTGATCAAGCTTTCATGATAACTTCCAGTTTACAGAAATACAGGGACTAGTGGGATGAGTTTAAAAGAAACCCAGCACCCAAATCCAGAATGTGGAACATTCTACGGAACAAGTGACCTGATTCCTTCAACAAGTCAATAGCATGGGGGGAAGGGGTGGGGGTAAAGGAACTGTTCTATATGTATACAGCTTTAAAAGGCATAACCATCAAATGCATTGGACAGACTTTGTTCAAATCCTGGTCCTTAAGAAAAGCCATTTCTAAGTGAATAAGGGATGAAATCAATGCTGGGGAGGTGGGAAGTTCAGCAGATCCCTGGGCTTCCCCGATCCCGTGCCATCTGATTTCCCAAACTGCATGCCCAGCCATCCCCGAGTTGAAAGGTCAGGGCCCAGCACAGAAACTAGGCTATGAATGGCTGGGCCACACCCAGCTCAGGACCAAGAAACCCTCAGGTAAGATGATTCAGCTTTGGCAAAGGAAGAGGCAGTTCCTGGGGCTACTAGTGCGGAAATGTACAGGTTCCTTTGCTGGAAATTTTTGCCAGCAGGTTCGTAGCAACTCTGAGGCTTCATGGGAAAGCCATTCACATAAAAAAGCATAAAATCACAGGTCTGTCCAGAGTCAATTTATCACGTGAATCAAAACAAGGCACCTCTGAAGTGAAAGGGGAGAAAAAGAGACAACACCTAACAGGTGGCTTAGATTTTGCATCCTTAACAGTGTCTAATCCTGCATTTCTACCCAGGGGTTTTGTAGTTTGGCTTTGTTTTTCGTGTATCTTTTTAAAAATATATAATTGAGGCATAACTTGCATAAAGTGCATGCATTACATGTACAGCCCAATTTTTACTCCCTGCAATTTCAATTTTACTTGGATCAGTTTTGCAAGATAATATCTCCTCTCTTCAAGGCATGTGCCAGTCAGAAGCGATTCTGGAATGGAAAAAGAAACAGACTGGGGCCTGCTTCTAACTCCTGCGCCCTGCACACTGGTAGCCTGGGCAGCTGACATGCACCGTCCAGCCAGGACACAGATTAAAGCTGAACAGAGTCCCTTGGCAACGGAAGATAACAGCTTCTTCACTGCACCATTCCAGTACCTACCTCTGCCCCCAAATCCTACTTTCCCCCAGGCTTCCAGCTCAAGTCGTGAGGATTTCTAACTGGCCACTGCACTGCCTGGAATTGCCCAACAAATATGGAACAATGGTTGACCTCTTTCACTCATTTCAAAGGCCCACCATTCAGCGGGTTAATATTTTAAAAAATGGCAGACTTCCCTGGGGTCCTACCCAGATAAAGAGATCAACAAAGATTTGAACGAAGTCTTTTTAAATTAAAATTTAATATTATTAATTCTTAATTTTTATTCTTAAAACTAGGTATTCTAACATAAAAAGCTTTTTTGTTTGCTACTTTGAACTAGTAAACTAAAATTATAATTAAAAATCCTTAAAAGAGAAAAACATACTAAACGTGAAAAATAAGTTTAACGACACCATAATTCCATTTGAGAAAGTTTAGGAAGATGTGACACCAGTAAAAACTGTTCTACCAGCAACCAGGGGTAGAACCCAGTGTAACACTAATTCTTATTCAAGAAAGTTTACTGCTGGCCGGGCGCAGTGGCACTTTGGGAGGCTGAGGTGGGCGGATCACTTGAGGCCAGGAATTCGAGACCAGCCTGGCCAATATGGTGAAACCCCATGTCTAATAAAAATAAAAATTAACAAATAAACAAAAATTAGCCAGGCACAGTGGCGGGCACCTGTAATCCCAGCTACTCAGGAGGCTGAGGCAGGAGAATCGCTTGAACCTGGGAAGTGGGGGTTGCAGTGAGCTGAGATCACACCACTGTACTCCAGCCAGGGGACGAGACTGAGAATCTGTCTCAAAAAAAAAAAAAAGAAAATTATTGCTTATCATGGCTAAAATTATGTAACCAGCTCTTACCAAGCTACTTGAGTGTGTAAGGTGTTTAAAATCTTTTCCAAAATTTCAGAATTCTTGGGATATACAAAGAACTCCTCTGCAATACAAAACTATGAAATCTTCCAATATAGACTATATGTGGCAGGAAAAAATACCGTTTAGATATAGAACTGTTCGAGAGTAAAATGTATTATACATAATACAATTAGATAAACATGTTGAAAAATGCATGATGCCTAATTAAATTCCATTCATTAATAGGGTAACAGCCTTGGGGCACTCTGTACAAAAATGGCATTTCTGGTAAACACAACATTTAAAACAACTCAAACACACAGGCTCTGCCTGATGACATAATTATGTGTTTTTAATTTGGTGCCATTCTGACACTATGCCTAAGAATACTTCACAAATGGATCACTTTAAGACACTATCATCTCCATACGGTAATGCCAAAATAAAAATTCAGTACAAATATTCCCCTTAAAACTACAATTTTCAGCCAGGCACGGTGGCTCACACCCGTACTTTGGGAGGCCAACGCAAAAGGATTGCTTGAGGCCAGGAGTTCAAGACCAACCGGGCAACAGAACAAGACTTCATCTCTACAAAATATAAAATTTAAAAATTAGAGTGGTGAAGCGCTCTGCAGTCCTAGCTACTCAGGAAGCTGAGGTGGGAAGATCCCTTGAGCCCAGGAGTTCAAGGCTGCAGTGAGCTATGGTGGCACTGCTGCACTCCAGCCTCCATGACAGAGCAAGACCCTGCCAAAAAAAAAAAAAAAACAAAAAAAAACAAAACTGGCAAATGCATTCTCCAACTGGAATCCCAATCTCTTTGTGAGGCTACGAAGACACAAGCCTCAAACACATGGTGAAGGGCGTGTGAAGAAGCAGTAAAGACACAGCTCCATGAGAAGAAGGCCCAAGTCTGATCCCAGCTCTTAAAACCCCGAGCAAGCTTTTAACCTCCCTTGTTGAAAAACACTGATCATGGCACCTCTCATGGAACTGCATTGGTTGGTGCCTCTACAACTGATTTCTAGAAATCACAGAAAATAATGGCCATAACTGTGCCTGGCATATAACAAATGCTCGGGAAATGCTGGCCACTGTTATTTTTATTCTCATCTTAAGGCACATCTCAGTGGACCTTTTTCTCATCAGCACAGGGTATCTCTTATGATAGATGACAAACTCTAAGAAGGTTCCTTAAAAGCAGATGTCTTAGGCAACAATGGATGGACTTCAGAAACACTATGCTACATGAACAAAACCAGACCCAAGAGAGAGGCCACACTGTGATTCTACCTGTACAAAGGCAAAACGCTACAGACAAGAGAAAAGATCACTGATTAACTAAGACTGGGGGTGGGAGGGGGAACTGACTGCAAAGTCTAAAAACTGGACTGGGGGGAGGCTGCCCACCCTTATAAAGTTACTAAAAATTACACAACTGTGTACATATAATGGGTGAATTGTATGGAATATAAATTATACCGCAATAAAGCTATGCTAACAACAAAACAGATACATCTCCCAAGCATTTCTGCAGGTACTTTCGTATCAATCTCGCAATGAGAGTAAATGCAGATATGTACAGAGTCCAGCAAAAATGATTGAAAACGCAAGACTTGGGCATAGATCAGACTTGGATCCTAATTCTGGCTCAGCTTCTTCCTAGGGCAACCTTTTTTTTTTTTTTTTTTTTTGAGAGGGAGTCTTGCTCTGTCACCCAGGCTGGAGTACAGTGGTTCGAGCTCAGCTCACTGCAACCTCCGCCTCCTGAGTTCGAGCGATTCTCCTGCATCAGCCTCCCAAGTAGCTGGGACCACAGGCGTGCACCACCACGCCTGGCTAATTTTTATAATTTTAGTAGAGACAGGTTTCACCTTGTTGGCCAGGTCCTAGGGCAAACTTTTTACTTCTCTCCCCCTTGGTCTCCACATCTGTAAAATGGGAATAAAACAACACTAAGTCCAGAGGCTGATGTGAACATCATAAAGCTCATCCTCCACCAGTCTCCCCATATCAATCAATGGCACCATCTTTCACCCAAAGGCTGAGGCCAAAAGAGCAGGTGTCACCCACAATGCCTTTCTCTCTTGTATCAACTCCAATCCATCTCACCAGCGGCACCCCGGCTGGTCTCCCTGCTTCTATTCCTGGCCCTCTGCAGTCCCCGTGGCCCTCCACAACCACAGGGACACACTGACAAAATACAAGGTCCATCTCCTGCACGCCCTGCTCAGAACTCTCCTGTGGCTTCCTCATGAGCCACGTCCTCACCGTGGCCTGCCAGACCTCCTTGGACCCCACTGCACAGCTCTCTTCCTGCCCTGGCCGCTGGCTCCTCCCACACAGGCCCTCTGGCCATTCCTTCCATAGCAAGCTCCTGCCAGCCACTGGGCTGATATTTGCACTTGTTTCTGCGAGGCTCATCCCCTTGCCTCACTCAGATCTCAAATTCTCCTCCTCGGAGGAGCCTCATCCTAATAAAAACACAACCTGCTCTCCCACCAGACTCCAGCCCCCTGAACTGACTTAGTTGTCTTTACAGCACTGACCATGGGAATCACCTCATCCATGTATCTGTTTACCTTCTGTCATGCACTAGCATATAAACTCCATGCAGGCAGGGAGTCTGTCTGTCCCAGCCACCATGCTAGCCCGTGATCCCACTGATCCCCAGAGCCTGGAACGATGACTGGCATATGGCAGCATTCATTAAATAGTTGCTGAATGAATGAAGAAATGTCATAAAGAACTTGACACCATGCCTGGTCACATATAAGATGATTAAAAACTGTTCATTGATGATAATAATAATATTACCAGTATTATTACTGCATTTCACAGGTAAGAATATGCAAACCCCAAGAGGGCAACTGACTCACTCAGGTCAAACTCTACGTCTGATGTCTATGACTTCTATGACACCTCCCATTCCATGGGCACAGAATAACAGAATTCACCCACCGCAGCAGGAACCTGAAAGATGATGTAGCTGATTCTCTTGCACACCCGACGCCCTGCCTCCTCTCACCTTCTAAGAGTCACCTATCCTAAGGGGTGGCCCACATGCTGTTCCAATTCCAGAGCATTCCCTAGAAGGACAAGCAGGCATAAAGAATGCAGGCTTCTATCTCACCCTAAGACAACTCTAAGAAGTAGGTGAGTGTGACTATTTCCATTTTATAGAAGACGACGCTGGGAAACAGAAATAATGACATGCTCAAAAGTCATATACTCATTCATGGCAAGCTTAGGCTTAAAAGTCTGAAAATCTTTCAAGTCTAGGCCTCTCTCTTTCCGATACACTACTTTACCCTGCACATCCACTAAAAAAAGAAAAAATGAAAAAGAACCCTGACCAGTTTTATGTGTTTCAAATAGAATCAAGTTACAAGGGAAAGAATATTATGAAGCCCCCTCTACATACGCATATGCACAAATGGCATTCTCAACTTCCTCCAGGACATGGGAATTTTGATACATCTACATTAAACACTCACAAACCACCTGTGATTATTTATACTGCAAGATTTCATAAGACTGTACAATTTTTGTAAACTCATTAGCATTCACCAGATACCTTAAAACTTGGATAAAGCGTGAGTTTTAACTTTCACAAAGTATGCTCTGTCCCATATATTAATAATGGCACAGAAAAGCTTATACCACAGTAATGACAGCCCTCTTTCCTATACACTTTACTATGACACTTTAGGAACAATGCCAAAACTCTTGTCCAAGAATGGAATAAAACAGGCTATTTCTAATATGAAAACCCAGTTATCTTTAAAACTCTCCTGAAGGCATGAAGAGATACTGAGGAGCAGGTGGGGACAAGGGACAAAGCTCCCATCCTCCAAGTGTCCCTGTGTCCGCATCTTGACATCACTGCCGGCTGCATTACTAACACTCTGAGTTGAGGCCAGGCACGGTGGCTCACACCTGTAATCCCAGCACTTTGGGAGAGGATTGGCAGGCGGATCATTTGAGGTCAGGAGTTCAAGACCAGCCTGGCCAATATGGTGAAACCCCATTTCTACTAAAAATACAAAAGTGAGCCAGGCGTGGTGGCACATGCCTGTAATCCCAGCTACTCAGGAGGCTGAGGCAGGAGAATCGCTTGAACCCAGGAGGTGGAGGTTGCAGTGAGCCGAGATGGCACCACTGCACTCCAGCCTGGGTGACAGAGTGAGACTCTGTCTCAAAAAGACAAAATAATAAAAAAAAACTCCGAGTTGAAATGTCTAAGTCCTTAGCCCATTTTTTAGTTGGGTTCTTCATTTTTTTACTGTTGATTTGCGGAAATCCCTTAAACTTCTCAGATATTAACCCCTTATTGGATATGTAGTTTGCCAACATTTTTCCCCATTCCACAGGTTGCCTTTTCACTCCGTTGACTGTTTCCTTTGCTGTGCAGAAGCTTTTTAGTTCGATGCAATCTGGTTTAGTTTTGGGTTTGTTGACTGTGCTTTTAGCGTGGCAGCCGCGTAATTACTGCCAAGACCAGTGTCCTGAACCTCTTCCCCTATGTTTTCTTCTAGGAGTTTTGTGGAACCAGCTTAACCATCAAGGACAGATGAATGGGTAAACACATGTGGTAATATACATACAGTGGAATACCAGGCAGCCTTAGAAAAGAAGCAGTTCCGCCACAAGCACGAGCATGCATGAACCTGGAGGACCAAGTGAAAGAAGCCAGGCACAGAAGGACAAATACCATGTGACTCCTCTTAGATGAAGCATCTAAGTAGCTAAACTCATAGACTTGAAGAGTGGAATGGTGGTTGTCAGGGACTGCAGTGGGGGAAAATGGGGAGTTACCAATCAATGGGCCCAAGGTTTCAGTTCAGCAAGAGGAATAAGCTCTAGAGAGCTGCCCTACAACACTGCACCTGCAGTCAACAATAAAACACCGTACGCTTAAAAATCTGTTAAGAAGGTAGATCTCATGTTAAGTGCTCTTATCGCAGTAACATTTTGTAAAGAACATTTTTTGAAAGGCTGTGGGCACTGGCATAACAGCATAAACACCCCTCATTTGCCAAATCTCAGGGACCACATGTCCCCACCATGCATGGGAGGTGCATATAACCCAGGCGACCTCACAGATGAGAATACTAGAGCTCAAGGGGTTACGGGACTTGCTGGAGGTCAAAGAGCTGGGGCCTGGATCCTCACCCTGAGAGGCCAGGCTCACAGCTCCACACCTTTCCCCTACAGCACCTTGCTCCGTTCAGCAACTCCACTCCTCTGGCCCAGGCTGTGGCCAGGCAGGGCTGTCACCTGGAGATGTTCCAGCATAATTCAAGTCAGCACTGACAACAGAAAGGAGAGAGAGAATGAGGAGGCACAACCCTCTAACCTCATGCACCTAAACCTGCCATGGTCGGAAGAGCCAGTCTGCAACCTGCATTTTTTCTACCTTGTTTCTACGGGAGACTTGACAACACATACATAACCTGAGGGTTGCTGGGGCTCAGTGTCCCCCCCCACTTCAAGACTTCTAAGTCTCCCGACTGCTAAGGACTTAAGCAGCCCCACCAGGAAGAGGCCTGCTGAGCAGCCCAGAGGGTCCCCTGCCCTCTCACAGCCTCTAAGGGGGTGCTGTTCTTACACCCCAGTCTCTCTGCCACAGCAGAAACCCCAAGACTTTGCTGTGTGGAGGAAACATTATTGTCTCCAACCCATGTGACTTACACACGCCCCCAACACCACTACAGACCACAGGGCCTGTTTTAGGACTATTCACGTGTGCTTAACTCACATCCTTGGTAGGCTAGGCCTGGGGGCTCACGTCTATAATCCCAGCACTTTGGGAGGCCAAGGCAGGAGGATCACTTGAGCCCAGGAGTTCAAGATCAGCCGGGGCAACATAGTGAGACCCCATCTCTACAGTTTTTTAAAAAAAGATATGCTTAACTCACACCTTTGGTAAAACATCTCTGGTCAGGGAATATAAAAGAATGTAGAATCTGCGGCTGAATAATGATTTCTATTTCCATAGAACATACACACTCAACACAACTCCCTCTTTGTGGGGAAGCCCTTCTTCTTTCTCAGTGCCAGCGTGTACCCTGCTGTGGGATCACTGCTATTCCTTGATCTACAAAAAAAAAAAAAAAAACTCTTTTCCATCACATACATCTCATGAATCTCAGAACTCAATTTTACTCTTTAAATATTTTTAAAGCTGAAAGATTTATTTTCACTTAAAAACAAAAAGTCAGTCCCAAAGTCAAGAGTTCACCTGGTGTCAAAGCAACATTACCTCCTTTTTCTGCATCTCTCTCCCCGTTTTCCTTCCTACAGCTCATCTGAGTCCGAATAATGTTCTTAAATAAGTCTTCTCACTCTTTCCCCACAAATTCCTCTTATCTTTTCATTTGCAACAAAACCTCTGGTGGGCACAGCTGTAGTTGGGTGCCCTTTGCATGATACAAGTCCTCACTTCTGGAATCCAGGCCAGCTCAGGACACCACGTCCTACCACAACCGGCTTCCCAGGGCTACTGGCCATGAGGTTTACCTTCAGCAAGGACACTGGGACAGAACCATACGGTTTCCCGATCCACCTTCAATCCCAAGCGACAAAGTGTCCGAACCCCACAGCCAAATTCCAGACAGAACTGAACAGTCCACCTCATCTGTTCAGCTAAGCCCCTACCAGCAGGCTCTGAACTGATGGGCGCTAGGCAAATCCCTATGCAGCTCCATGGCCCGCCGCACCCACCCACCCTGACATTTCCACCATCAGAAACCCAACCCCCACCTTCAATGGCATTGACATCATTCTTTCTGAGATACCTTAATTCACCAAGCAGTGCTTTCCCTTCCCAGCTCTTAACTGTAATTAAACAATTTTTGTGTAATTTTGTATAATTCTTTTTTATGTATATGTATATGTATTTTTTAGCGACAGGCTCTCACTCTGTCACCCAGACTGGAGTGCACTGGCGTGATCACAGCTCACTGCAGCCTCGAACTCCTGGGCTCAAGTGATCCTCCTGCTTCAGCCTCCAGGGTAGCTGGGACTACAGGCATGCACCACCACTCCCAGCTAATTTTTAAAAATGTGTTGTAGAGATGGGGGTCACTATGTTGCCCAGCCTGGTCTCAAACTCTTGGTCACAAGCATTCCACCTGCCTCAGCCTCCTGAGTAGCTTCAACCACAGGAGCGCGCTGCCACACCCAGCTAATTTTTCGTAGAGATGAGGGTCACTATGTTGCCCAGGCTGGTCTCACACTCCTGGCCTCAAGCAGTCCTCCTGCTTCAGCCTCCCAAAGCACTGGGATTACAGGCACAAGCCACTGTACCCAGCCCAGTTCTTTAAATATCCTCCTCACCTGCCTTATAGTCTTGTTAACAGCAGTAAACCCAGTGCCTGGCACATGACGGGCACTGAATGTCTGGTGAATGGAGAGTAAATGACAAGCAAAGCCTCCCCCATCAACCTTAAAATAGCCCCTTGTCCATGCACCATAACTAAATGGCAATCTAATCCAGCTTGCCAAATAATCTTTCTTTCTTTCACTGATGGGGTACCGGAATTAGGGATATGAGATGGGTAAGACTGTCCATTCCTCTTCAGCACGTTTCCTAAGTACTTAGGGTGAGGGAAACTTCAGATGGGTCAGGCCCAGCCCTTCTTGAACTAGAAAGGAAAAGGGGAGAAAAATGGTTTGTTTCAAGAAGGAAAAGCAAAAATAGGCCATGATTAGACAAGGGAACTATACAAGGAAATGCAGCAAGGTCTCATGAGGTCATCCCAAGGCCACACTCGACCCCATGATGCACACAGAGGACATCCCACTCCACAGCAGCTTTCCCACCCCCGAGTGTGCCCCACAGCACACTAGCACCCATAGTCACCTTCTCTAGGCTGAAAGAAGAGTGACAACTCCCCCAGATAGCCGGGGACTTCTACAAATGCCCAAAATCTAGATCTCACTTACCCAAACTCCCAACTCATTTCCTTAAAACACTTGCACACAGAATTCTGGAGGGAAGGGGCAGAAGGTAAGTTAGGAATAACATTAAGCCATATTCCTCATCTTTCCTCTTTCCATCAGGAGAGAAGTCTTCTACCCCTCCACCATTCCCAAAGAAAATCAGTAAAACTCTTTTCCACCTTTACTTGTGAGATTTTAAACAATTAACAGTCAAAGGAAAGATTCGATGAATGAATGAATGAATGACGGCGTCCATCCTCCCACATCAGGAACAAGATTTCACATGTCAGTTTCTCAGAAGCGCAAATCAAGTCCATTTTTAACCACCCAAGGAAGGGGATCTCCAGTCCCCTGGGGTAGGAGATTGTGACATTTCCTATTGGAGCTTCGTTTGACTTTTGCAGACAGAAACACATCACGACTCCTGAAGGAATGCCGATCATCAGAGCAGACTGCATGCATGACTCATTCACTCACAGGCTACTACTGCACCGCAACACTCCCCTGAGCGTGTGTGCAGATTAAAGCGCCCCGAGTGTCAGGAACTGCAACAAAAATGCACCTGAGTGGACACAGCCACAACTTCCTTCTTGTAGATTCTTCTAACTTCAAAATGTATTGCATCATCCTAATGATCAACCTACTTCTAAACGGTTGTCTCAAAGACCTCTATTTTGCATATTAGAGAATTCAAAAGTCCAAAAATGTTACAAGAGGAAAATAAAAGTATGTAATGACAAAAGCGTCCAGTGGCCAAATCTGTGGCTAAAGAACGATTTTATTTTAAAAGAACATACACACTCAACACAACTCACGATTCTCAGGAAAACCCTTATTTTACTTTCTCAGTGCAAGGTCTTTAAGAAGCCAGCATGCACCCGGTTGTACAATCACTGCTATTCCTTGTTCCACAAACAAGAATTCCTTTCCATCACATATTTCTTATGAATCTCAGAACACAATGTTACCTTTAAAATATTTTTAAAGCTTAAAGATTTCATTTAAAGACAAAAGTCAATCCCAAATGACTCCTGAATTCAAAAATATAGTCCATGAAACTTTTTTGTCAGCCCATTCTTCCAAATAAAGTGGAAATTTACATTGTTTTTCCTGTTTCTTTCTTCTCCCTTCTGTACAGGTGGTTATATGCAAACCTATAAGAAAATATATTTCAAAACAACTTGTCCGTATTAATCTTGGATGTAAGTGGCATACCAATATTGTAGAATTATCATGATTAAATATATTTTAGGCTGATGTGGCTGGTCAGTAATGCTCTCATTTACCACCCCACCCTCTTTCCCACACACACACACACACACACACACACACACAAACACACTATGGCTGCCAAGTCATAAATTAAGCAAAGATGCCTTCATCCTTAGGGTGTGTTTGGGTGGTGAGCATATGAGTGGTTTTTTTCTATATATTTTCAATTTTTTAATTAATATATAAAATTTTCTCATGAAAAGTTTTAAACCGGAAACCAGCAGCGCTAAGAAATCTTCTCTGGACAGGTAGCCCAGACACTATTTCAACTTAAAGCCACTTGGATAGATAGAATTTCCAAAGTGATGTTAGGAAAACGTGGCTGGAGGAGAAAACCGATGTACTTGATAGCAAGAAATCGCAAGTTTAAGAATGTGAAGTCCAACAGCCCTCATTCCGTTTTTCTTTGACCCCTCAAAATCGCACCCATCCTATCAAGTAACTTTGCTCCGCTGTCATTGCCTAAAATCTTTGGGAGGGAGGAAGGAAGCAGGCTTGGTACCTTGCAGCAGAGAATGAAATCTACAGTTTACCCTCTCAACCTAATTCCTCTTGCAGATTTCACAAGTGGTGGACACCATCCCCTACATAACACTAACACTTGGCCATACCCATCAGTGCCACCTCCAAGGGACCTAAAGATGCCTGGGGGAAATTACGGAACCCAAATTGAATTAGGACTCCTTGTGTGTGTTACACCACCCCATATGCTGGGTTCACTGGAACAGGGGAGAAAGAGAAGAGGCAAAAGAGGAAAAGTTACTTGCAGACTGGAGTCAGTGTCACGGCCACCGTCGGCGCGGGGCAAACCTCCCCGGCCCCGGCTTTGTCTGCCTGGCGGGGGCTGGCGTCGGGGCGCGACCCGGTCCACGCCGGGCGCCGCGGGGCGAGGGGCGCCGAGGGCGGGCATACGGCGCACACGGCCAGGCAGTGCACACCGCGCCGGGTAGGGCTCCCCCGCGGCAGCGCCGAGAAGGCAACAATGAGCCGGGCGGCCGCTGGGCCCCTTCCCCGCAGCGGCCCCCGCCTCCGCGGCGCCCCCCGCACGGCCCCGCCGCGTGCCCGCCCTGAGCCCCGGCACCTCCCGGGCGCCGCGCGGGGTGACCCGTGGTCCCCGTACGCCCGCTGCCCTCCCGCGCACGGGGACCCCCCACCCGCCCGGCCGCCCGCCCGCCGAGAGGGTCCCCGGAGCCGGGGTCGGGCAGGGCCGCCGCCCGCCTCCCCGCGCCCCTCGTCTTTGTGTGGAAAGTAAGTGCGGGAGGCGAACCTACCTCGGCGCGCGCACAAAGGCGCGCGGCTCCCTCCCAGCTCGCTCCCGGCGCCCGCGGCGGCGCCCAGCGGCCCGACTGCTCGGCGGCGGCCCGAGGCGGCGCGAGGGCGGCTCCGGGGGCGGCGGCCCGGCCCGCAAGCCAGTCCGGCGCAGGGCGGCTCTCGCTCCCCGCGGCCCCGCGCGTCCGAATTAAGCGGCGGGGCGGGGAGGGGCGGGGCGGCAAGGCCACGCCCCCAACGCGCCCCGCCCTGGCAGCCCCGCCCCCGCCTTCCTTCCACGGCTCGCGCGCGTCGGGCGGAGATCCAGAAAGGCCGGGCATCCGCGCCGGGAGGGGCACCAGCCGGGGCTGCAGCGCTCGGCCTCCGGGACTCGGTGGGAGCGAGGGCTGGAGGGAAAGCGCGGCGGCCCCGGATGACCGGGAAAGTGGGAAGGCGGCCGCGTGGGTCACAGCCACAAAGCTCCGGGGCGCTCACTCTCCTTTTTTCTCACTCCCTCGTTCCCTCGCTCTCTCCCTCTACCTCTCTGTCTCTCTCACACACACATTCTCTCTTCTTTTATCTCTTTCTCTCTCCCTTAATCTCTTTCTCTCTCATTGTCTCTCTTTCTCTCATTCTCTCCCTCATTCTCATTCTCTTTCATTCTTTCTCTCTCCTCTGTCTCATTCTTTCATTCTCTTTCTCTCTCTGTGCTCACCCCCATCTCTCTCTCTTATTCTGTCTCACACACAAAGTACCCAAGAGCGTCTCGCTCCTGGGTGTCCGGGCTCCGTCTCCCCGGCAAGTCTGCGATGCTAAGAGGCCGTCCCCATAGAAATCCTGCCAGTTCCTCTTGGAAGAAAACGCAGACAGAATCAGGGAGGAAAAGGAGACATTTGTTGTAATTGTACAAATTTACGGTCAAGCCAGGACCCAAAACCCGGTGACCTGGAGATTCACCCATTTTCCTCCCCTCCCTTCATCAAAGGGTAATTGGAAATTTAAATATGCAAGAAAGAAAGGGTTTATTCCGCCTCTTTGCTCTCTGATCTCCTTTTCTTCAGCTCTCTTACAAGTGCTTTTCTGGCCAACCCTAAGGCTCTGAGATTACAATCTACTTGAATCACAGCAGGTACAAAATCAGGGACTGAAACAGTTATCGGTTTCAGCGTAGCAAAAAGGACAACAGGTTCGTGGATTTTAGATCAAAAGCTTTTTAACTGTCTTGGCAACAGATGACTAAGGGCTTATTTATGGGGAAATTTTTCTGACTAAGACAGTTTGGGTCATAGTCATACTGAAAAGTCACATCAGTTACGGATTTTGGTAAACAAATTACTTATTCCAAAGATACCTATCACACACCATGCTCTAAGCCACAGCCTGCCAGCCAAGTAAGGGTCTGGCCATCCCTGGGTCCCTGGAACCCACTGAGGGGTGGAATCCCTGCCAGAGAACTTAAAGAAACTCCTTCCCAGCTGAGGAAGCTGAATTCCATGAACTTTATACATGGTGTTTCCTATGATTCTTCCTTCTCTCTCGTCCTTGAGTTGTGTTTCTGTTCTTAACAATGGCTCCACCAGTCACCAAACCAAAACCTAGGATCCAGCCTAAACTCTCTCCCTCCCCACATTGGCATCAACTCCAAGGTTTGTGCAGTGTGCACAATTCCTGGCTATCTCCCTCCCCCTCTGCTGGCACCGCCACTGTTGCCTTTGGGCTCAGTCACAATATGGTGGCAGGGGTTTCCTAACTGGCCCCAGCCTCTGGTCTAACACATGCTTTTCCTCTCAACTTTCTGGGGTGCAAGTGAACTTTCCAGGTGCAAGATGCTCAGTTTCCTCCTCTGCTTGAAACACTTTAGTGGATGCCTGCTTCCTGCTACATGATCAAGTCGAAGCTCCCCAGCAAACATCCAAGGCTCCACTCAGCCAGAGTGCCGTATTTGCTAAGTGGCCCTGCTCTGTGATGAAGACTGGATGAAATAATGAATATATGGCCTTGTCATGCTCTTCCACGGGCTTCCCCTCTGCCTAGCAGACCTTCACCAATCCCCAAGAGCTCCTCTCCTCTCTGAGAATCAGTCTTCTCTGGAAACCCTTTCCTGACCTGCTCACACTAAATGGATCTTTTCTGCCCCTCCCATACCCGACATGGTATTGGCGTTATTGCACTGTATCGTAAATATGTGCCTCTGTGAGCCCAGAGTTGATGCTTGACATATATACATATCTTTATACCCTCTTGCCTAATGTAATATCTGGCATATGGGAAGTGTTATGGACTAAACTGTGTACCACATACCCCTATAATTCATATGTTGAAGCCCTAACCTCCAATGTGACTGTATTTGGAGACAGGACCTATAGGGAGGTAATTAAGGTTAAACAAGGTCATAAGGGTGGGACCCTAAGCTCATAGGTCTGGTGGCCTTATATAAGGAGGCAGAGACACCAGATCCCTCCTTCCTTCTCTCTTCCTCTCTCCCTCCCTCCTTCCCCTCTGTCCCTTTCCCCACTCTCTCTTTCTCTGCCCAAACACAGAGAAGAGGCCACATGAAGACACAATGAAAAGGCCGCCAACTGCAAGCCAGAAAGAGAGGCCTCACCAGAAACCAACCCTACTGCCATCTTGATCTTGGACTTCCAGCCTTCAGAACTGTGGGAAAATGAAATGTCTTGTTTAAGCCACTCAGTCTAGGGTATTCTGTTACAGCAGCCCCATCAGATGAATAGAAAAAGCATGCACTGGATTCGAGATTCTAACCAAAGATGCATTGGATTCAAGATTCTAAATCCCATCCCAGCAGTGAGCCTGACTTCTCCATACAAAGTAGCCTGGACAAACATCTGTGATGCAAGGCCACAGGCAGAGTGTGTGAATGTGATAAGTGACCACGGTCTTTTCCCTGCCCCGTGAGAGAAATAGAAACAAAGGCTCGTTCCATACTCTGGGGTATAAATGCCTACAGGCTCAAAGTCACGATGCTACCTTTTGCACCAGGTACCATAATTTCTTTTAAACCAAAAACAAATAAGAGCAAATATTTACTTTGAATTTATTAATTCAAATAAAAGACAGGAGGCCAGTATCAATATATTAAATCTGCTCTTTTAGGCTGAATATCTCACATCCCTAGGGAATCTTAGTGGGATTTTAATTCAGGTAAGATCAAGTATCCAATTTGGTTTGGGACCCCTGGAGCCACTGTGGGGGGATCCCAGGAAATAAAAACTCAAAGGTTATGAGCTATGGTGATATTTCCATTTGTATCCATACCATCCACCACAGTGTCTGCAACATATCACTCTGTGGGTGATAGATGCTTGTTGAATGAATAAGCCTCGTACTTCCCAGGGTTATAACAGGCAACACCAGACCCTCAGCCCGAGTCTGATATACTGTAGATTTCACATTCTGAATGTAGACAGGACTCTGGAAAAAGTCAAGGGAACTAGTGGCCTAAATAGCCTGCTGGGCTGTATTTAAGATTTTGTTCTGGGGCTGACACAGTTTATCAGGTGGCTTAGAGGGTCTTTACTGATTTGCTTTCAATACAAATACTGATTTCCCTTACATTACAAAGGGAACACTCCGCTGAATGGTTTCTGAGTCATTTAACCCATCACTGGTGATAGATTCTCTGATCTTGCATTACTGGAAAACATACATAATAATTTTCCATTTCAGAGCAGCAACCTACAGGGTCACCCATATACTCCACTATGACCTCATCCTTTAGCTTGGACATCTGGAGATCTTGCAAATTCATCCCTAAGGAAAATCGAACAAAGCAGAAATGACTATTTGGGGACGTAAAATGATACAAAGCAAATCAATCTGGAATAAGACGTGTTGCTTTTTTATTGTCTACTTTGGTCATTTTGTTCATGCGTAATCTTAAAATTGTTACTTTACACCCAAACCACCATGCTGAAGAGCTCCAAAGAGATGAGAAAAACTTAACAATGCCCTCAAGGAGGGAAATTTGTTTTGACATGTATACTCTTTTGTATCTTAAATTTTGCACTGTGTACGTGGACATTTGAATCGTAATCCATTCAAAAAGAAATAAAATCTTAATTTTAAAATCCTATTTTTAAGCCACGCTCTCTCATTCTGTGTCAATTATCTATGACTGTATAACACATCGCCTCAAAACTTTAGTGGCTTAAAATAAAAACACATGCTTTGCTCACAATACTGTGGGTTGGCAATTTGGACAAGGCTCAGCTGCGATATCTTATTTCTGCCCCATGTGGCATTAGCTTGGCTCTGTCATGTGTTTGCAGTCAACTGGGAGGTTGGCCAGGGACTGGCTTGCCCTGGGTGGTCTCAAAGTCCAGAAGTTGATGGCAGCTGTCAGCTCAGGCATCTCAGATCCACTTGTATGGCCTCTCAGCAGGCTAGATAGGACTTCCTCACACAACAGCCCCGTCCAGGAGGGCGAAAGAGGAAGTGGTAAGGCCCCTGGAGCTCTAGCGTTATGGGTCTAGAAGAATGATAGAAGTCTGTACATTCTACCATTAAAAATGTCACAAGGTCAGCCCAAATCCAAGATTTGGAGAAAGAGACCCCCCTTGATGGTAGAAGCAGTAGTCATATTGCAACAGGGCTTGAGTGCTGTACTAGGAGAGGAGGAATTCTTGTGACCATCCTTGCAAATAATCTTCCTCTGAATCAGACATGAGGAACTACAGAATGGAGGGCAAAGTAACAGGTGCTAACAATAGTCTCAAGGGAAATCTTTCTGATGATAAGACAAAAGCACTTTGGTATTCAACATAAAACCCACAAAGACAGATACAATACATTGGTATTGGCCTCATGGCCTCAATTGATAGGTCAAAGAAAATAGTTAATTTCTGCTTATTTGTTTTTGGTTTAAATAAGAAAAAGATGGGGGAAAGAAAAAACAACAAACGCTTTGGGACTATAATGCAACTAAGGTGCATTGGGTTCTAAATCAGTGTTTTAGATACCTATTGCTGCATAACATCTTACCATAGACTTAGTGGCTTATAACACCCACATATTGACTCGTCCTTTTTTTAGTCCAGAAATGGCATGACTGGGGTCTATGCTGAAGGCCTCCCAAAGCCAAAATCAAGATCTTGGCAGGGCTCATAGTTCATCTTGTCTGGAGCTCAAGGTCCTCTTCTAAGGTCATTCAGATTGCTGGCAGAATTCAGTTCTTTGTGGTTATAGGACTGAGGACCCAGTTTCTTTGCTGGCTGTCAGCTGAGAGCTACTCTCAGCTGCTAAAGGCTAAAGGCTGCCCAGAAACCTCATCATGTGGCCCTCCCCATCTTCCAGTCAGCAGTGTCTCAGCAAATCCTTCTATGCTTCCAATCTCTGACTTGGCCATCTAGGGCTCTAGACTCAGACTTAAAGTGCTCATGTGATTAGGTCAGGCACACCCAGATCATCTTCCTATCTTGACAGGTAACTGACTTGAGACCTTCCTTACATCTGCAAAATCCCATCACAGCAATAGCTAGATTAGGGTATGACTGAATAACTGGAGAAGTTGTGTGTATACCAGAGGCCAGGAATTGTGGAGGCTATCTTAGAATTCTATGACAGATGGAAGGACAGGCAAACAGACAGATGCTCTTTAATATAAACATAGAATGTGAGGGCAGGCAGAAGGTGGAAACCTTGGAGAGGTATCACATGCAGAGCTCAGCAGTAAACCAGGAACCAGGCCTAAGAAGGAATTCTTATTGAGTAATAACCGAATTCCCACATGGTCCGTTCAGTGGTTACCAAGTCTTCATTGACCCCTGATGACCTGAATACTGAAAACAATAGGGAAAGGAAAACGAAGTTAAGAATATGGCATCTAGGCCGGGCACGGTGGCTCACGCCTGTAATTCCAGCACTTCCGGAGGCCGAGGCGGGTGGATCACGAGGTCAGGAGATTGAGATCATCCTGGCTAACACGGTGAAACCCCATCTCTACTAAAAATACAAAAAATTAGCCAGGCATGGTGATGGGCGCTTGTAGTCCCAGCTACTCGGGAGGCTGAGGCAGGAGAATGGCATCAACCCGGGAGGCAGAGCTTGCAGTGAGCCAAGATCACACCACTGCACTCCAGCCTGGGTGACAGAGCAAGACTCCACTTCAAAAAAAAAATAAAAAAGAATATGGCATCCTAATTTTATCATTTAAATAGCATAATCATGTAAATATAACAGAAGTCCCTTTATTTTGCTTAACTGTTTTGCACAATTGTTGTATGACGTTAATGTAATATTCCATAACTCAGGAAGATAATGCCTTTCAATAAAGAGACTTAGAGAACTCATTTGTGGAAAATCTTTGTGAAAAGTTGTGTGGTTTGCCAAGCAAATATAGCACATGCATACCTTTTTAAATTAATAGTACTTAGGAAGGATCAAAATGATATGCCCAAATCTGAAAGAACATGCTAGAAACCAGATGATAAGCTGTTTCATTAAAAGAGCCTCTGTGCATGAGCATTTGTGATCACAGGAATGGAATTACTTCATTAAATATGCTAACAGCACCAACAGTAAAGATGAGTATTGTCCCCTGCAGTAGTTATCCACTACAAAAGCATTTTGCAAGCTCCAAAACAGAGCTGTATTTCATAATGTAACTGAGTACTTTGCCAATTCTAGAGAGTTTAAAAATTCAGGAGAGTTTTATTTTCCAAACATTTAATATATGTACTGCCTAAAACACTTAATTTCGTTTTTAAAGAACACTTGCTTTTCATTGTTCACAATTTTAAAATCAAAGGGACTCTATGAAATGGTGGTTCTAACTTGTAACTGCACATCGCGAAGAATCGAGAGAAACAGCTGTTACTCACATAAACGACTACTGAATGATGCAAAGATCTGCATTTTACGTTTTTTTCTTTACATGAATCCAAAACCAGAAAAAAGGATTTCCTGAGAGTCTTCCTGTGTATTAAAACTAAAATCTCTAAATAGCAAAGAGAGGGGAACAAAATCCTTAAGCGCTCATCCTGTCAAAAATATTAAGGTAACTTAATGGTCGACACTAATGAGTAAACAAACCATCTCTGCAATTAAGCAATATGAAGATAATTTCTGTAAATTTCCTAATTCAAATAACTGACATACAATACAAATGGCCAAATTTCTGTGAACATTCTACAGTTTGCTCCAACTTTTTTTTCTTCTTTCTGATATTCGCTCTAGATACAGACATTTCCATTAGCGGGAAGTATCCTTTGGAATGCTTATATTATTAATAACTAGTTGAATGCCAGTTTTATATATATATATATATATATATATATATATATATATATATATATTCACCTAACTTCTATTAATTGCAATAAAATAAGTTCATGGAAGAATGGAAGGAAGGCTAGGCTAGGACTAAAGAGATCTGCCTGGTGACCTCGGATAAGAAACTTATCCAAAGCTTCAGTTTCCTCTGGACTTAACAGTAAATGAATTCATAGTTATTTCTGTAGTCCAGAAGTGGCACGGCTGCATTCTCTGCTGAAGGCCTCCCAAAATCAAAATCAAGATCTTGGCAGGGCTCATAGTTCATCTCGTCTGGAGCTCAAGGTCCTCTTCTAAGCTCATTCATTTATAAATATGTATAAAAATATATATGCATAAATTTTTCCTTGCTAGTTATTAGCTGGGAGTCACTCTCAGCCACAAAATACATATATTTATATATTTATATCCTCATACATATAAAACATTTATATGTCCTTATACATGTGTGTATATGTGTATGTGTGTGTATGTATGAGTATAAATATATATACATGTTATATACATAAGTCCTTATTTATATAAAAAGTTCCAGCTTTAGTTGTTGTGCTCCCCAGGCTTGTCTGGAAGAGAGAGCTGTGTGATCCACTCCAATCTTAGAAGTAAAGTTCAAACTGCAGCTAATGTTAAATCGTGCCAGAGAAGGTTTACTTATTAACTCTGCTTAGAGAAGTGTGTGACCCACACATTTGAACTGCTAATGATTACTGGACTTTTAAAACTGCTGTTCAAGTAATAACATTCTTCTATTTGTTCCACCAAATTTAACATGAACTAAAATCCTAACTAATGTTAGTGTTAGCTGGATAATATTAATAAAAGTTGGAACTTTATAAGGAAAAAGAGAGAATGAATGCATGATGGAAGGACAGAGTCCTTGGGCAGCTGAGGGCAGTTTCTGGAAAGGTTTTGCAATTCTCCTTGTTCGTCTCTCAGTTGCCATCAGCACTCAGAACAACCTGCCCTGTCCTTCCTTACTTACCCTGTCCAAGATTCCAGCTTGTTCTGGTGGCCTCCTTTTTCTAAGTCCACAGCTAACACACATTGCAGGAAACTGTACTTTGACAGGCACCTGCTTTTCTCAGCTCATTTCTCTCTGCAACAATTGCTTCAGCCATTTGCTATCATTTGTATCATTTCATACACAAATAATTACAAGGACAAAATAAAGAAATACAAAGATATGATAGAACTGTCCTTGTCTTTGACAGACCAAAGAAAATAACAGACCTTTGTCCAAAATGATAAGTGACAGGCTGAGAGACAAAGACACACAGAGAAAGAACAAGTAAAAAAGACTGGGAATAAAAATGGAGACATAACTGTAGATACCCCAAAACTAAAAACAGCATACAAAACCATGATGAGCAACTTTGTCTGGAAATGCAGATGAAATAAAAATTCCTAGAAAAATACAAGTCGCTACAAAGTGACTCAGGATGAAATAGGTAAACTTTCTTTTTTTAATTTTATTTATTTATTTGAGACAGAGTCTCACTCTGTCGCTCAGGCTAGAGTGCAGCGGCGCAATCTCAGCTCAGTGCAACCTCCACCTCCCAGGTTCAAGCAATTCTCCTGCCTCAGCCCCGCGAGCAGCTAGGATGACAAGCGTGCACCGCCATGGCCGGTTAATTTTTGTGTTTTTAGGAGAGACAAGGTTTCACCACGTTGGCCAGGCTGGTCTCGAACTCCTGACCTCAAGTGATCTGCCTGCCTTGGCCTCCCAAAGTGCTAGGATTACAGGTGTGAGCCACCTCACCGAGCCCATAAACTTTCAATGAATTGAATTGGCAATTGAAATGTTATCATAGAACAATAGAAACCTAGTGGTACGGAAATTGATTTTAAGAATGATTTGCTCATGACCATTCTTAGCTTGATTTGGAGAGATTCATAATCTTTTAAAAGACAGTTTATCCATGTGACTAATGAAAAGCAGAACTTCTCTTCTTACTCAGAACTTCCTTACTTACCCCATGCCTCCTTACTAACCTGACAGTTTTTTCACTGCACAAACTTCAAGATAATCTTAATTTCCTCACTTACGCCCTACATCTACTTTGGCGACAAAACCAAGACATTGCTTTCTCTGTCATTTCTCTCAAATCTACATTTTTCTCTCCATCTCTATCAAATTCTGCCTGGCCCACAGACACACAATCCTCAGAGTGCATATCCACTAATACTGCTTTCCTTCCGTCTGCCCCACACAAGCATACACTATGACTCAAGTCATCTCACAAACA
This sequence comes from Homo sapiens, assembly GCF_000001405.40. Classification (NCBI taxonomy): domain Eukaryota; kingdom Metazoa; phylum Chordata; class Mammalia; order Primates; family Hominidae; genus Homo; species Homo sapiens. The sequence goes on from NC_000010.11 coordinate 14,613,753, forward strand.
GGCCACATCAGCTAGGCTAATCTAGTAAAACAAATTATACAACGCTTTTCCCTCAAAGCTGGACGACTGGCTTTTCTTTTATTAAAATTCAAAGTCAGCTGGGGGCAGTGGCTCACACCTGTAATCCAAGCACTTTGGGAGGCCGAGGAGGGCAGATCACTTGAGGTCAGCAGTTCGAGACCAGCCTGGGCAACATGGTGAAACCCTATCTCTACTAAAAATACAAAAATTAGTCAGGAGTGTTGGCGGGCGCCTGTAGTCCCAGCTACTCGGGAGGCTGATACAGAAGAATCGCTTGAACGTGGGAGGCAGAGGTTGCAGTGAGCCAAGATCGCGCCACTGCATTCCAGCCTGGGCGTCAGAGTGAGACTCCATCTCAATAAATAAATAAATACAATTTGAACTTGCTTCTTTCTTTCCCCCTAAACAGTCGTTGTCCTGGGAGGTTCACAGATCACATGAGGTCCTGTGGGCTCTTAGAGGCTCTGAGCACGATCAGAAGCCATCAGTGTGTGTGTGATACTGAAAGCCAGGAGCCTGCATTCACCACCAAGGGAGAAACTGAGGCCTGTGCCCAGGGCGCTCTGGCATTTAGTGGTCGGGGAGCTGCTGGGAACTGGCAAAAGAGACAGAGAAGGAGTCAGGTGCAGTGTCTCACGCCTGTAATCCCAGCACTTTGGGAGGCTGAGGGAGGTGGATCACCTGAGGTTAGGGGTTCAAGATCAGCCTGACCAACATGGTGAAACCCAGTCTCTACTAAAAATACAAAAATTAGCCAGGCATGGTGGCGCATGCCTGTAATCCCAGCTACTCGGGAGACTGAGACAGGAGAATTGCTTGAACCCAGGAGGCAGAGGTTGCAGTGAACCAAGATCGTGCCATTGCACTCCAGCCTGGGTGACACAGCAAGCGAGACTCTGTCTCAAAAAAAAAAAAAAAAAAAGAGACTTAGAGAAGGAATGGCCAGTGAAAGTGAATGGGACCCAAGGGAGCTATGAATGAAACCTGGAAACCAAGTGAGACCAGGGTTTCAAGCAGGAGAGGATGTGATGGGCACCTTTGTGAAACGCTGCTACCAGGTTACACGAGACAGGGACTGTTTACCAACCCAAGAATCACTCGGGGAGCAGCAGGGGTGAAGACCTGGCTGGAGTGGCTTCAAGACATAATGGGAAAAGAGGAATTGGAGGCAGCTAGTATAGGCAGCTTTGTCAAGGGTAGTAGACGGAGGGGAATCCAGGGCCAAGAAAGGTTTTGTTTCACTGTTTTGCTTGTTTTTAAAAATGGCAGAAACTGCTGGGTGTGGTGGTTCACATCTGTAATCCTAGCACTTTGGGAGGCCGAGGTGGGTGGATCACTTGAGGTCAGGAGTTCGAGACCAGCCTGTCCAATATAGTGAAAACTCATCTCTACTAAAAATACAAAAATTAGCTGGGCATGGTGGCATGTGCCTGTAGTCCCAGCTACTTGGGAGGCTGAGGCAGGAGGACCACTTGAACCTGGGAGGTGAAGGTTGCAGTGAGCTGAGATCATGCCACTGCACTCCAGCCTGGGTGACAAAGTGAGACACCATCTCAAAAAAACAAAAAAAAAGGCAGAAACAAATAATTTTCTATAAGCTGATAGGAACGATCTTGTAGGGAGAGAATTAATGGATATCTTTTGGTCTTCTGGACATTAAGCCTAGGCCTTGCTGAAGTGAACTCTACTCTAGCCAAGTTTCCTGTGAGGCATAAATACACCCACTTCCACCTCCCAATCTTCATTCATGATGTTCCCTCTGGCAGAAATGCTCTTCCTCCCCTCTGTTAGCAGATCCAAGTTTTGCCCATGCATTAAGTTTCTGTTCAAATCTTAGGTCTGCCACAAGGCCTTCCTTAACTTTTATAACCTAGACCAAGTGCTTATTTAATTTTTTAATAGCACTGAGCATTTATAAATTACTTATTAAGTATCTCTGTGTGGAAAGGAGTGAGCTAGATTTGGGAACAGAGTAAGTTAAATAAAAAGCACCATTCCATACTCGAGAAGCTAACAAACTTCTTATTTGTCCTAAGCAATAATTTTTTGTATGTGTTCCCTAATTACCTTGTCAACTTTGAAGGCAGGCAGGAATCAATGTTTTAATCTTTTTTAGTGCCTAGCACAATAAGTACTTCATAATCAGAGCTAGATAGATATTTATCAAATTAAATTAAAAATAAATATGACGGAATTACTTAGGCATACTTCCCAATTGTATAAAAGAATCACAAAAACTTCCCTTAATAGTTTATTCCTTCAAACATTTTGTAACAATTATTTTAAAACTTTCTAAAAGAGGTTGGATATGTCCCTGCTATGTTAAATAAAGAGCCTTAAGGACAGTGGCTTTTTAAAAAAATAATAATAATATTGACCTGCTTGTGGATGACTGAACTGAGTATCTTTATTGAAAATTTTGATAAAGCTGAACTAAGGGCATGTTGCATGTTTGTTGGAATGACTCTTCTTAAGACTCAGTTTTATATACAGGAAAAAATCTGATTAGCAGTTCTATGGAGCTACTGGAAACTCGAGCTTCAAAAACACCACAGAAATGAAAAGACAAGGGGCATTGTTTTTACTGAGATTTCCATAATTCTCACTCCTCTTCTGATGACATAAAGTAAGCCCAGGGGACTATTAATGAGGTTGAAAATGAATATGCCTGAGCTGTAATCACACCAAGAAATGGATAAAAGGTATTGTTCCATTGCCTAGGTCAGCCTGGTATAAAAAAATGGAAAGACCCAGTGGGTATATTATTGGCAATTTTGTGGCAGACTTTCTTCTAGGCATATTGGAGAACACAAAACTTTACAGAGTAAGAACAGCAATAATGAAAGGCACACTCGAGAGAGTAAGGAGGCTGGACTCAGTGGCTTATGCCTGTAATCCCAGCCCTGTGGGAGGCCAAGGCAAGCAGATCGCTTGAGCCCAGGAGTTGGAGACCAGCCTGGGCAACATGGGGAAACCCTGCCTCTGCACAAAAAATACAAAAATTAGCTGGGTGTGATGGCACATATCTGTGGACCCAGCTACTTCAGAGGCTGAGGTGGGAGGATGCCCTGGGAGGTCAAGGCTGCAGTGAGCCATGATTGTGCCGCTGTACTCCAGCCTGGGTGACACAGGGAGACCCTGTCTCAAAAAGATAAAAATAAAATAAAAGAGAGAGAGAGAGAGTAAGGAAAGTAAAAATAAAAATAAGGCAGGCAGGTGGGTGAATAAGAGAAGGATAAGGAAGAGAAGAAAAAGGAGAGGAGCAATAGGAGAAAAGAGAGAAGAAAGAGAACCGAGAGGAAGAGCTAATTACAGACAAGAATGCAGCAGGAGTGAAGAAAAGGAAATAAAGAGGCTGGAAAGGAAAAGGAAATTAACTGACTCGGGATATTTTCAGTTTTTTTTGAAGATCATGCCCCGGTTTTCACTGTGAATGAAAGACTCAGGAAACAAGCCTTTCCTGTTGAGACCTGTGTGTAATTCCTGCTCTGCACCTTGCTAGCAATTGTTGCATATCAAGATAAAAGCATCTGCAAAGAGAAGGGGCTTGCACTTGAAGGTGGAGCAGGGGGGCCTTACTGGTTTTAATCCCTGGAGAGGATACATGTCTCTCAAACTTGCAACAGGAAGTGAGGGAGAGCCTGGGTCTTGCTCACAAGGAGTCAAGCCACTCAGGAGACACTGTCTTTTCAAAAATGGTCTAAACTGAATATGATTTAACATAAAATTGTACATTCTGGCATCTGAAGCTTAAGATATCCTAATTTCACAATTGATGGCTGCTTAGAAGTGATGAAACACGTAAGTGGCTATCTGTGTTTGAGCAGAGACAAAAGTAAAACTGTGTGCTCAGAGCTTCAACACATGTAAAGCAAGAGCAAGCTGTCCTGGTAGGGAAGAAAGGACACTGCTGCATCTAGGAAGGTGCTGTCCGGTCAGGAGTAAAGAATAAACAACTAGAGACAGTTTCAGGTAGACGCCAAAAAAAAAAAAAAAAAAAGGCCTGAGACAGGCCCATGACCCAGAGTTTGGTGCCTAATTACCATGGTGGCGCATGCCTGTTTTCCCAGCTACTTGGGAGGCTGAGACAGGCGAATTGCTTGAAGCTGGGAGGTGGGGTTTACAGGCGTGAAGCACCAAACCCAGCTTCTTGAAGTGAAATTTATATACAGTAAGATTTACTCTTTTTAGTCTACAGATCTATTAATTTTGACTCATGTAATACAGTTGTGTAACCACCTCCACAATTATCATAGGGAATATTTCACCACCTAAAAAAGTTGACTCATGTCCCCTTGTGGTGAGTTCCCTCCTCCCCACCCACAGTCTCTGCAATTTTTGCTCCATAGTTCTCCCTTTTCCAGAATGCAACATGAAGGGTATTATACAGTTCAGTCTCCTTCAGGGCTGCTTTCACTTCACAAGACGCTTTTGAGATTTCTCTATGTTCTTGGGTGTATCAGTAATTCGTTCTTTTTATTTCCAAGTGGTATTCCATTGTATTGTTTATCTCAGTTTATCCATTTACAGTTGATGAACTTGGCTTGTTTGCAGTTTGGGGTGACTATGAATAAAGCCGTTATAAACATCTCACACAGGTCTGTGTGAGAACATATGTCATATGTTTTCATTTCTCTTGGGTAAAAACCTAGGAGTGGGACTGTCGGGTTGTATGGTATTATGGGTTGGATTCTGTCCCTTGCCCCCACGCCCCCCAAAAAGATGTTGAGGCCTAATCTCCAGTCTTCGAATGTGACCTTATTTGGAAATAAGTCATTACGGGCCGGGCTTGGTGGCTCATGCCTGTAATCCCAGCACTTTGGGAGGCCAAGGCAGGTGGATCACTTGAGGTCAGCAGTTCAAGACCAGCCTGGCCAACATAGCGAAATCCCGTGTCTACTAAAAATACAAACATTAGCCAGGCATGGTGGTGTGAACCTGTTATCCCAGCTACACAGGAAGTTGAGGCAGGAGAGTCGCTTGAACCCGGGAGACAGAGGTTGCAGTGAGCCGAGATGATGCCATTGGGTACCAGCCTGGGCGACAGAGTGAGACTGCTTAAAAAAAAAATAGTCACTGCAGATGATGTAATTAAGATGAGGTCATATTGGAGTACGGTGGCCCTTAATCTGACTGGTAAGTATCCTCATAAGAGGAGACGAGACACAGAAACAGACACGCAGGAAGAAGATGGTCTTGTGACAACAGGGGCAGAGATTGGAGTGATGTATCAATAAGCTAAAGGGTGCCAAGGATTGCCAGCAAGTACCAGAGGTTAGAAGACATGAGGAAGGAAACTCTCCTATAACCTTCAGAGGGAGCTTCAGAGGGATTTAGAGGGAGCACCGCCTGTAGATCCCTTCATCCAACACTTGTAGCCACCAGAAGTGCGAGAAATAAATTGCTGTTGTTTTAAGCCACTCACTTTGCGATACTTTGTTACAGCAACCCTAGGAAAATAAGGCAGTACGGTCAGTCGGTGTACATTTCACTTAATGGGCACTTTTTCCCAAAGTGCCCATATTGACGTTCCCACCAGCAATGCATGAGAGTCCTGGTTGTTCTATGATCCATCAGCAGTCGACACTAGCAGTGTTTTTCATTTTAGCCATTCTAATAGGTGAAGAGTGGTTTTAATTTTTATTTTTCTAATGGCTTATTATGTTGAGCACCTTTTCATGTGCTATTTGTCATCCATATATCTTCCTTAGCGAAGCTTCTGTTCCAGTCTTTTATCCAGTTTTTATTGGTTGTGTGTATTTTCTTAATAAGTTGTAAGAGTTCTTTTACAGGCATGTGTTTTCTAAATATTTCCTCCCCATCTATGACTTCTCTTTTTATTTCCTTAACAATGTATTTTGAAGAAGAAAAAACTTTAAATTTGAAGGCTTATTTATCCATGCCTTCTTTTACGATTTGTGTTTGTGTCCTAGCTAAAAAAAAAAAAAAAAAAAAAAACCTTTGCCCAAGCTAAGCACACAATTACATTCTCTTATGTTTTCTTTTAGAAGTTTTATAGTTTTTGCTCTTACATTTAGGTCTATGACGTATTTCAAATTAATATTTTCATATGGTGCTAGGCAATGGTGTAAAGGTTGAATTTCTTTTTTTTTCATTAGTATACAGATGTTCCATTGTTTGCTTTTTGAAAGGACTATGTCTTATACATTGATGAACTTGGTAGCTTTGTTGCAAATCAGTTGACCGTGTAAGTGTCTATCTACGTCTGGACTTTCTTTCTTTCTTTTTTTTTTTTTTTTTTTTTGAGATGGAGTCTCGCTCTGTCGCCAGGCTGGAGTGCAGTGGCACAATCTCGGCTCACTGAAACCTCCGCTCCCAGGTTCAAGCCATTCTCCTGCCTCAGCCTCCTGGGTAGCTGGGACTACAGGCGCGTGCCACCATGCCCAGCTAATTTTTGTATTTTTAGTAGAGACGGGGTTTCACCATGTTGGCCAGGATGGTCTCGATGTCTCGACCTCGTGATCCGCCCACCTTGGCCTCCCAAAGTGCTGGGATTACAGGCATGAGCCACCGCGCTTGGCCTATTTCTGGATTTTCTATCCTGTTCCATGTCTCTGTATATCTAACCTTTCATCAACACCACCCTTTCTTATTTGTATTACTTTACAGTAACTCTAAAATTCAGGTTTTGTGAGTCATCTAACTTTGTTGTTCTCCAAAATTATTTTGGTTGTACTAGGCCCTTTGCTTTCATATACATTTTAGAATAACGCTGATTTTTTTCAAAATGCTTACTGTATTTTTTTTATTATTATAATTTAAGTTCTGGGATACATGTGCAGAACATGCAGGTTTCTTACATAGGTATACACGTGCCATATTGGTTTGCTGCACCCATCAACCCGTCAACTACATTAGGTATTTCTCCTAATGCTATCCCTCTCCCAGCCCGCCATCCCCCCACAGGCCCTGGTGTGTGATGTTCCCCTCCCTGTGTCCATGTGTTCTTATTGTTCAACTCCCACTTATGAGTGAGAACATGCCGCATTTAACTGATGTCTTAATATATAGTCTTCTGACACATGAACATAGTATATCTCTCCATTTATTTAGGTCTTGTTCGATTTCCTTATCAATGTTTTGTACTTTCCAGCATACAAACCTTACATACATTTTGTTAAAGTAATCCCTAAGTATTTCTTGGTTTTGATGTTATTGTAAATTATACATTTTTAGAATTTCAATTTCCAATTATTTATTGCTTGTATTTAAAAATACAGTTGATTCCCACAGATTGACCTTGTATCTTATGAACTTGACAAACTCACATATTATATTTCTTAGTCATTTTTTAAATAGTTCTTTGGGATTTTTAATGTAGATAATCATGACTTTTGCAATAAAGACCATTTTATTTCTTAGGTTCTCTGTTTTTTTAAATTTGGCATTCTTTTCAGGGAATTTCAGGGAAGAGGCATGTCCACAGCCAGTGAGGAGAGTGAGATTTGGTTTCACATTTCGATGTTTTGAAAGCAACATTAAACTGCTGTTTATATTATGTAGACTCCTTTCTTACTTTTTCTGTTTAACAGAAAAATTCTGTGGCCCTGTTATTTGTGTTCTGTGACTGACTCCTACTGCAGACTCTTTGATTCTAGATCTTAAGTGTTCAAACTATAATATTCCCTTTGGATGAAATATTTCCTCCTGTGGTCCACTTTTTAAAACGTATATGAAATGGGACATTTTGTGGCTAGACATAAGCCAACGCCACAGGGCAAGGAAAAATTAAAACAAGACATTTGATTAAAGAGTGAAGACAAGGAATTAAAGAATATAAAAAGGAAACTAATTTTTACCTTAGTCAGGCTGCAATTCTATTAAAAGAAACAGGATACATGGCCCTGAGAACTCCCCTAGGTTCCCAGACTAGAAGCATCTGTTGATTTGAAGCTGGGGAAGAGAGGAAGGAGCATAAACAAGATTTGAAACAGGATTTGGCTTTTTTTGAGGCCTTCCCAGCCGATGTGGGGTGGCACCAGCCCCATTCCACAGCTCGCTTGTTAGCTGCTGAAAGCGGAGTATAACGCTTGGAGAGCAAAAAGAAAGGGAAGGAAAAATTCTTCAGAGTAAAAAAAAATGTACAGAAGTACCTTGCAGTTAAGAGAGGGTCTGCCAAGTCAATGAACACTAACAATAAAATATGTTCAAGTTGCTCTGTGATTCCAGGTCTTTTCTCTTCCAACTAATCAGATGCATCTTAAATACCCCAAAACATGACCGCTTATACCAACAAAGCTTTTCCACAGTCTCTCCATGGAGTAACATTCCTGGCTTTTCATCTTGGCTTCTCCATCAACACATTTAATAAAGTCCATCTTTCAATATTCATTCAATAAACATCCATGCATCCAACGGGGGCCAGGCAATATGTCAGGACCTAAGAATATGGAGATGAAAAATGAGGTCACTGCCCTCAGCAGACTTACAGCCTAGCAGAGGAGACAGACATTGGAGCAAACATAATACAATAAATGCTGTGATGGACAAGCACCTGGGAGCTAGTATGAGAGATTTTTTTTTTTTTTTTTGAGATGGAGTCTCGCTGTATTGCCCAGGCTGGGGTGCAGTGGTGTGATCTCGGCTCACTGCAACCTCTGCCTCCCTGGTTCAGAGATTCTCCTGCCTCAACCTCCCGAGTAGCTGGGACTACAGGTGCATGCCACCATGCCTGGCTAATTTTTGTATTTTTAGTAGAGACGGGGTTTCACTATGTTGGCCAGGCTGGTCTGGAACTCCTGACCTCGTGATCCACCCGCCTTGGCCTCCCAAAGTGCTGGGATTACAGGCATGAGATTCTTAAACCAGGCCAGAGAGAGAAAGTCAGAAAGCTTCCTGGAAGAGAAGGCATCTAAGCAGCACATTAAAGCTTCCGTACACTAGACACACTCTTATTGGCTATTTTGGTTCAAGTACATGGTCAGTTAATCAGAACAGGAAATTACAGAAACATAATGTATGCCCTAAACACTTAATTTAACATAAACATATGTTGAGCATTTGTGTCCCAGTTTATTTGACTGCAGGCTCACAGTTTTCCTTTAAACATAAATCTTCTGATTGGAGTTCCCTGTAGAAATCACAGGGATTTCTTTCCTGTAGAAATCACCACACTCCTAATGCATTCATTAACTACACAATTTCTAGTTTGCCTCTTCAAAGGGGAACAGGAATGTGGAGAGAATTGCAAAGCAACCTGAGTAAAGCATCCTTCTTGACTGATACTAGTTTATCCATCTGATACAATTCTCTTACCCACACCTAATTTGACAGCATTTTGTTTTAAGCTGCTCATGTTCATTCTTGTCAAAGCAATTGACTTGATTTTGATTATCACAACCCTCTTTCTTTTGGTGTTCATCTTTTGTTGATTTAATATTTAATTATACAACAGTATTAAAATAACAACTAGCACAACAACGCAATAAAGCAATAAGGCAAACGCACCTTATTCTTCTTAAGCAAACAACTCAATCAGTAGACACAGAAGTAGGTGGAGGACAGCTTATCACCTGCAAAAGTCCAGCAGGCCACAAGACTCACCCTGTGCATCTTTCATCAGGAATTTAGGTGACAGTTAATCCCAACTGTGGCTAAATAAAGATCTGGTAAAACATCTACTGCAGAAAAGGTACAGACATTCAAAGGAGAGTGACCAACACAGAGAGCTGAGATGGGCACAAAGGAAGCACACATATTCAGAGGAGGAGTCGGGAGAGCTCAGGCGTCAAGCTAACTAGCTCAAAACTGGGTCAGCGTGGTGGCTTACGCCCGTAATCCCAGCATTTTGGGAGGCCAAGGTGGGCAGATCACATGAGGCCAGGGGTTTGAGACCAGCCTGGCCAACATGGTGAAACCCCATCTCTACTAAAAATATAAAAATTAGCTGGGCGTGGTAGTGCAGGTCTGTAATCCCAGCTACTCAGGAGGCTGAGGCATGAGAATTGCTTGAACCTGGGAGGAGGAGGCCGCAGTGAGCTGAGATCGCCCACTGCACTCCAGCCTGGGGGACAGACGGGGACTCTGTCTTAAATAGATAAGTAAATCGCTCACACTTGGGCTATGTATCTTAAAGGCATATGAAACAACTCATTTTCCTTAATTTTTCTGTCGCTCAATGAGAATGTCAAACTCATCTTTCTCAACGTCAACACTGAACACTGGTGAAGACACCACTATTTTAATGAACATGCCAACATTTGTTACAAAGCCTTCTCCTGAAGAATGGAGCATCACAATATATCAGTTGTGTCATCAGCAACCACCGTACTGACCCCTAAAGGGCTCCTAGCAAACATAAAACAATGGAGAGGCAGGTGAGGGAAGCTGGTGCCCAATTCACAAAACCCACAGAGGATCATTAAAAAACCACTAGAGGCTTTGAAAGAGATCTATTAACTATACAAACAATGGAGTGGCTATAAGGATGGTGAATAAAACCATGAAAGCCATCAGAAGACGTGAGAAGTGTGGAAGCTGTTCCAAGGCTGGTGGGAAAAGCTGGAGAAGAAATGGCCAAGCCAGTTTCCACTGGGTCACGGCTTTGTCTATCCTGCCCCATCTCAAAATCAAAAGAACTTGAGGGAGTCTCAGCACTTCTGGGAGGCTGAGGAGGGTGGATCATTTGAGGTCAGGAATTGGACACCAGCTGGCCAAAACGGTGAAACCCCATCTCTGCTAAAAATACAAAAATACGCCAGGTGTGGTGGTGTGCGCCTGTAATCCTAGCTACTCGGGAGGCTGAGGCAGGAGAATTGCTTGAACCCAGGAGTTTGAGGTTGCAATATACAGAGATCCTGCCGGTGCACACCAGCCTGGATGACAGAGCAAGACTCCGTTTCAAAAAAAAAAGACTTGAGGGTCAACTCCCAAAGAACTTGAACGTCCCTGAGTCCGTTTTCGTATTTGAGCATAACAAGCTGCACTCATGACAAATGTCATAAAATAACTAAAGCAGCTGGCAAACGCAAGAAAAGAAAAACAGAGTGGGTGGAGCTGTTAAATCAATAATACAGAGGTCTGAGAAGCAGAAGCACATACATAAGGAAGTTCCTTTCTCCAGATCAGTAGATATTCAAGGGTAAGAACTCTGGTAATCCACTGATCTAGGTGGATGACAATAGTTTTGTTGATCAGAATGTCATGTGTGGCCGGGCGTGGTGGCTCACGCCTGTAATCCTGGCATTTTGGGAGGCCTAGGCAGGTGGATCACTTGAGGTCAGGAGTTTGAGACCAGCCTGGCCAACATGGTGAAATCCCGTCTCTACTAAAAATACAAAAATTAACCAGGCATGGTGGCATGCACCTGTAATTCCAGCTACTTGGGAGGCTGAGGCAGGAGAATTGCTTAAACTCGGGGAAACAGAGGTTGCAGTGAGCCAAGTTGGCACCACTGCAGTCCAGCCTGGGTGACAGAGTAAGACTGTCTCAGAAAAAAAAAAAAAAAAGGAATGTCGTGTGCGTGCGTGTGTGTGTGTGTGTGTGTATGTGTGTGTATCCCTCCCAGCCCTGGGAATTTTTCAACCTGCCATGAAATCTCTGCTTTGTCTCAGAGTCATCCTTCGTTTCATCTTCTTTGACTCTCTGATGACGCCTCATCTAGTCCCAAACACCTCTCCAGAACAATGAGCAGAGCCTGCCCCCTGCTCTGAGATGAAGCCTTTGTAACTGCTCCAGCCAGGGCCTGACAGCCATGAGTACAACTGTCCTGGCTGCTCTGCAGGGAGCTCATAAGAACAGGGAAACAGGAGGGCCCAGCTCTGCCTGGCAGCTGTGACATGGTGTGCCAAAATAGGCATTAATGTCGCGTGCAAGAGAAACAGGCAGAAGAGACAGAAGGATTTATCTCTTGTTAGAACTGAGCTGCGTTTTACAATCCAAATCAAATTTCTTGGTCATTTTTATGGTGAAATTCTCGTGGTTTCAGAGTCCAGTGCTATTGCTTAGAAGGAAAAAAAAAGTGGCACAGAAGAATAACTGAATTAAATAAATATTCAAGAGTACTTTGGCCTAGACAGATTCAGTACAACACAACAAGCAAAACCATCCGACCTCCATGCAGCTGCTCATGGATTAAAAAAAAAAAAGCTAATTTCAACAGGGCTGCTGAATAATCAAGGCTTAAAAGGAGAAGTCGTAATGGAATCTGATCTGTTGCCTACATCGTTAGAGAACATACAGCTTTGTACATCAAAGCAAAGCACATCCTCCTTCCTCATTAGAGCCAAGGGGAGGCTTGGGATACTGGGTCCCCCCACCCCGGTACACTTGGGACTCTTTTAAGACCGTGGTTGTTTTGAAGCTGGCAAAGCAGAGGAGAGAAAAGCCATCTTCTCTTATGGTAATGATTTTATTTACTCCGTTGAAGGCTGGTCACTGCTGATCACTGCCAGCCCCTGGGTCGCCTGGGATTTACAGAGGACTCTCTTCATATAGCATGAGTTCACTGAGATTGCTCCCTTCTCCTCTGTCTTCAATATACGATTCATCACATAAACAATAAAAACAATGCTGGTCTATATTTGAAGGAAATTTTACAGTTTTCAGTCAGACTGTGCAATTGTCTAAGAGCCGGAAATGTTGGAATTTAGGTGCAAAAGAGCATACTCTCTCACAATACTTCTGCTGTTTGGTTTCTCATTTGGGTTGTTAGTTATCACAGGACCTGACTTTCACAGAAACAAACTGTGGAATTTGAGGCGGATCTTTTTTTTCTTTTTTTTTTTTTGAGACAGAGTCTCGCTCTGTCGCCCAGGCTGGAGTGCAGTGGCGTGAGCTCGACTCACTGCAAGCTCCGCCTTCCGGGTTCACGCCATTCTCCTGCCTCAGCCTCCCAAGTAGCCGGGACTACAGGCGCCCGCCACCACACCCGGCTAATTTTTTGTATTTTTAGTAGAGATGGGGTTTCACCGTGTTAGCCAGGATGGTCTCGATCTCCTGACCTCGTGATCTGCCCGCCTGAGATGGATCATTTTATAGTATTAGTTGTCTTGTGCTGCTTGGTTCCTTTAAGAGACTCCGTGTATCTCAGCAAAGCTCTTTGGCCTTGCATAAAAAGTACTATGGAGCACATTGTCGATGGCCTCTGATTTAGTGTTTTATCTGCACCCACCTGATCTGTTTGTACCTCTTTCTATCTTTTGGACATCTGGATTTAAATCCTCATTTATTATCTGGATTTGCTTCTGCACCAAATGGCTATGTTCCCTCTTCTCATCAACATCTCTTACCTCTCCGGATGCTCTTAATTAGATATGACCATAACCTGAAGGTGAGCTTCAAACAGGTTATTTACAAGACAGACACTGGTGGACCTAGTTCCTGCTAGGCACCAATTACCCCAGGGCAATTTAGGTAAATTACCATGGTTTGAACAGCAGTCTAAATTGTGGTCATAAGATTAAAAAGGAAAATTTCCTAAATAGATGTTATTAATTCTTAAAGTATTGCAATCTGATTCTACCAAAACATACTTTCGTCACAGTCCTAATTTTCTCCATCCCAAGCTATTTAACGTTATATTCAGAATATTATCATTAGAATGGTTTTAGAAACGGACCATATGGATAAACAGACAGGAGGAGATCAGCGGAATCTAAAGGGTGTCATGCAAATACCTGTTAAAATCATGCAAATATCTGTTAAAATAGCAGCTCTGCTAGACAGGAAGATAGAATGTAAAAAGAATACAGAGGTGAGGCTGGGTGCAATGGCTCACGCCTGTCATCCCAACACTTTGGAAGGCCAAAGTAGGAGGACCACTTGAGGCCAGGAGTTTGAGACCAGCCTGGACAACATTAACGACACCCCATCTCTACAAAGAAATTTTAAAAATTAGCCGTGGTTGAGCACACCTGTAGTTCCAGCTCCTTGGAAGGCTGAGGCAGGTAGATCGCTTGAGCCCAGGAGTTCAAGGCTGCAGTGAGCGAGGATCACACATCTGCATCCTCGCCTGGGGGACAGAGTGAAACCCTGTCTCTATAAAAAGAAAAAAAAATCAGAGTAGAAATAAGCATTTAACAGATTGGTTGAATCCAACGAGAGAGTGGCACAAAGAGGGAGATCAGAATTAGGGTTTGGAAGGAAGGTCACAGGACGTCATTTGCCTTAACCAGAAGATATAATTGAGAGTAACTACGAAGGGTAGGCGTGAATTCAAGGGCTTAGGGCAGAAGACACAGACTTGGAGTCCATGGTTGGTATAAGCCACAATTATTATAAAAAGGTCAATACAGCAGTCTATTCGTGAGAATAGTTATGCTGGAAGTCCATAGCTCTTTCTTTCTGTTTGTTTCCTTGTTTGTTTTTTGTTTTGCTGGTTTTTTTTTTTTTTTTTTTTTGAGATGGAGTTTCGCTCTTGTTGCCCAGGCTGGAGTGCAGTGGCGCGATCTCAGGTCACTGCAACCTCCCCCTCCTGGGTTCAAGCAATTCTTCTGCCTCAGGCTCCCAAGTAGCTGGGATTACAGGCGCCCACCATCACGCCCAGCTAACTTTTTTATATTTTTAGCAGAGATGGGGTTTCACCATATGGCCAGGCTAGTCTCAAACTCCTGACCTCAGGTGATCCACCTGCCTTGATCTCCCAAAGTGTTGGGATTACAGGCGTGAGCCACTGCACCCGGCCCATAGCTCTATCTTTCCTACCCAGATGGGTCTTTCCAGTTTATGTGCTACTCAGTCTCTGAGAAGGTAACCCCAATGCACTAGGAATGGAAACCCCAACTTCCTTGGGAAGTATTTGTAAACTTCTTAGAAAGATAAATGAAATGAACGTGGGATACTGTAATTGGTTCTTTGGTGGGTAAATATATTTTAACCCCAGGCAAGGTTAGATCCGAGTCAAGTCTAAAGATGATTAACTAAATCAAACTCACAGTATTATTTGTGTGTTAATATAGGGAATAGTTTTGTGCATGATTTATATTTTAAATGTTTGTATTGTATAAAATAATTTGAGAACTGTGTATGGTGGCTTACACCTGTAATCCCAGCACTTTGGGAGGTTGAGGTGGGAGGATCGCTTGAGCCTAGTCGTTTGAGACCAGCCTGGGCAATACAGCAAGACCCCATCTCTATAAAATAAAATAAAATGAAACAATTTGGTATGACTAATAGATTTAGACTCATGCTTTTAAGTTGACACAATAAAACCAAATTTGTAAACAGTACTGAAAAGCTTAGGAGAATTAAAATTTACATAAATGCTTATAAATATGTTATATATATATTAGCTTTATATTACAAGTCTCAGGAAAGTTGTGGTATTAAAAACTTGAAGGATTTAGAAAGAAAACTAAATATATAAAATTTATAAATATGAAAGCAATTTAAGATGTTTAAAGGAGTTTAACTTTCTAAGTGGAACCAAATATTAACCACGGACATAAAAAGTATATATATACTATATATATAAAATTTATATTTATATAATACATGTTATAAAAATATAAATTACATAAATATAAATTATATATAATTTATATATATTATAAATATAAATTGTATAAATATATAATATATATAATATATAAATTATATAAATATATGTAATTTATATATATAATATATATTATATATTTAATATATATAATATATATAATATATATTATATATTTAATATATATAATATATATAATATATATTATATATATATTATATATATATTATATATATATTTAATATATATATAACATATATAATATATATATATTTAATATATATATATATATTTTTTTTTGAGATGAAGACTCGCTCTGTCGCCCAGGCTGGAGTGCAGTGACACCATCTCAGCTCACTGCAAGCTCCGCCTCCCGGGTTCCAGCCATTCTCCTGCCCCAGCCTCCCGAGTAGCTGGGACTACAGGCACCCACCACCACGCCCGGCTAATTTTTTTGTATTTTTAGTAGAGGTGGGGTTTCACCATGTTAGCCAGGATGGTCTTGATCTCCTGACCTCATGATCTGCATGCCTCGGCCTCCCAAAGTGCTGGGATTACAGCGTGAGCCACCACGCCTGGCCCATAAAAATAATTTTTAAAATTTATTGTTATTATATATGGCATAATATGATATAAATTTAGAAAAAAAACATGATTTTTACATTTACTTTTTAAAATCAAGTATTAATACTAAAAAACCGTGTAAATCACAAAACTGCAAACACACTTTCAACTTGAGATACATGAAAATGGATATATCTTTTTTGATGTTACACAACAAATGAACAATATTTATCACGTGAAACTTTGATAGAGCTTTATCTCCTTCCACAGGATGCTGTGTAAAGTAGGAGTTTCCTTCACTGAAGAATTTCCTGTTCTCCATACTTAGATCTCGGGGCAAGAATCAAGACTTTTAAGAAAACATGCAAAATGTATTTCTCTTGCTCACTTCAGCAGTTTCACCTAAAGTAAGCACTTTATGTCCCATATACAACATTAAGACATGCTTATGCAGTTCACTATGCCTCACTTCTCTACTGATGCTAAAAAAAAAAAAAAAAAATGGAAATAGAACTGCAGAAAAAATGGCTGAATTGCAAGATTTACCAAAGTGATCATTAGCAAAATATAGAATTGCCTACAAGTGCCCACTGCTCCTGAAGAATCCCAACAAACAAGAAAAAAAAATGCACTGAGGCAGAGTTGAATTTTACATATATAAATTATATATTTCTTAGTTTCCCTTTCAAAACTATGTTTTGAAGTTAATTCTGTTTAAAAGTAGTCAGTTCTATGTTTTTTAAAAAAATCACATTGGGCTGGTCCACGCCTATAGTCTCAGAACTTTAGGAGGCTGAGGTGGGAGGATCGCTTGAGCCCAGGAGTTCGAGACCAGTCTGGGCGACTCTAAAATAAAAATACCCCTCTAAAATAAAAATACCCTCTAAAATAAAAAATACCCCCAAAATTAGCCAAGCATGATGGCATTAGCCTGTAGTCCCAGCTACTTGGGAGGCTAAGGCAGGAGGATTCCTTGAGCCCAGGAGGTTGAGGCTGAGGTGAGCCATGATCATGTCACTGCACTCCAGCTGGGTGACAGAGGGAGACCCCGTCTCAAAAATAATAATAATAATAAACAAAAATTTTAAAATAAAATAAAGTAGAACATCAGTAAAGGACCTTCAAATGCTATTGTCTGAATTCTATGAATATATAGGAATCTAGTCTGCTTGAAATGGTTTACCTAATGGACTTTTATTATTTTACATTTATTGAGAGCCAGTGAAACAATGAATGAAAAGCAAACAGGCATGAATTTGTCATCTAAACCCTGCCTCTCTTTCTATTGTACTGATCATTACAAAAACCTTTCTATTGGGATAAACAGACACTTTTCTCCCCGGGACAGTTTGTAATTATCTCACATCTTTTTTCTCACAGATGAATCTCAGTGCATATCCCCTGGCTGGGCCTGGGCAGCATCCTATCATCCCTTCAACAGAACTACATCACAGTCCCCTTCCTAGTTTACTCCTCCAGGATTTCTTTCATGAGCTGCCACCATAACATCTCCTTCTAGCCAACATCCATATAAAGTACCATGTCAGGACAAGATTTGTCATGGCTTTCCTGGGATAATCTTGTCTATCCTTTTACATTGGGTTATCTGTTTAAACAGAAGAGATGAACCAGTGTATAAATTCTACAGCACAACTTTTAGAATCCATCTATTTTTAGAGACAGATTTCTTTTCTGGAATTTGGCAGAAATTCCTTAAGACCAGATCAGAATTGACTGTGACCATTTGACCATTTTCCTGCCTGATTGATTTCTAAGAAGTCTACCACCATGCCCCGCCCCAAACCTAGCCCTGCAATTCAAGGAGACTTCCAGGGGAAAAGTGAGCACTGCTAAAAATGACCCCTCTTTTTTCCTTCTCTAACCTCCTGGGTCCCCACCCCGGCAACTTCATCATCAGCCCCGATTCTGCCCTTTTGCTCCACAGTGAATTGCACCCCTCCTAACCCCATGCCATGAGCATTCCTCTCCAATGCCAGGCTGGCTACCCAGGTTGTGAGGTCCAGTGCAACATGGAAATCTGTGACCCTCTGTCACCAAATGATTAAGCATTTCTAGAGGGTGACAGCCGAGCATTAAGCCAAGTGACGGCTTTTATAAGGTAGGTTGCCATACGACCGCACAAGCTTGTAGCCCACGAAAAAAAGTGCAGGTTCCTGAGCCATTAGGACCATTGGAATCCTCTGATAAAATTAAGAAATCTGGCCAGGCACAGTGGCTCACACCTGTAATCCCAGCACTTTGGGAGGCCAGGCAGGCGGACCACCTGAGGTCAGGAGTTCAAGACCAGCCTGGCCAACATTGGTGAAACCCCATCTCTACTAAAACTACAAAAATTAGCCAGTCATGGTGGCGTGCACTTATAATCCCAGCTAGTTGGGAGGCTGAGGCAAGAGAATCACTTGAACCCAGAAGGCAGAGGTTTCAGTGAGTGGAGATCGCGTCACTGCACTCCAGACTCCAGCCTGGGGGACAGAGCGAGACTCTGTCTCAAAAAAAAAAAAAAAAAAAAAAAAATGCCGGGCGCAGTGGCTCACGCCTGTAATCCCAGCACTTTGGGAGGCCAAGGTGGGCAGATCATGAGGTCAGGAGATCGAGACCATCCTGATTAACACGGTGAATCCCCGTCTCTACTAAAAATACAAAATATTAGCTGGGCGTGGTGGCGGGCGCCTGTAGTCCCAGATACTCGGGAGGCTGAGGCAGGAGAATGGCGTGAACCCGGGAGGCGGAGCTTGCAGTGAGCCGAGATTGCGCCACTGCACTCCAGCCTGGGCAACAAGGCAAGACTCTGTCTCAAAAAAAAAAAAAAAAAAGAGAATTCAGAAATCTTCGTCTAAGAATTATTACGTAAAGAAACCCAAAAGAAAGTTTTTCTCAGGAAAGAGTGAGTACAAAGAAAAGCTGGGAGAGAAAAGATAGCATCTGAAGTAGGGAAAGGAAGGGAGAGACACGAGATGGCACAAAGTGATTGAGGGTCCTGACTAGCAGACTACAGAGACAGGGGGTACAGGGCAAGAAATGCCAGCTAGGGAAGGGGTTCAGAGATGAGGCTGGAGACCCATTTGCAGGAATGAGCAATGATTTAAAATCATACAGCTGGAGGCCAGGCACAGTGGCTCACACCTGTAATCCCAGCACTTTGGGAAGCCAAGGCGGGCAGATCACTCGAGGTCAGGAGTTCGAGACTAGCCTGGCCAACATGGTAAAACTCTGTCTCTAAGAAAAACACAAAAATTAGCTGGGCGTAGTGGTGCATGCCTGTAATCCCAGCTACTCAGGAGGCTGAGGCAGGAGAATCGCTTGAATCCAGGAGGCAGAGGTTGCAGTGAGCCAAGACTGTGCCACTGCACTCCAGCCTGGGTGATAGAGACTCTGTCTCAAAAAAAAAAAAAAAAATCATACGGCTGGTCAAAAGCACTTCACTGAGTGATGGCCCCTTGGAGGGATCATGTGTAATTTACATAAGTCTTTAATTGTGAAACTAACTAATGAAAAAGAGAATCTACACAATTCCTTAAGGGAAGCAATACATATACACATAGACTCCTGGTTTTCAAATACCACTATACAAGATATAATTGATGTTAAAACTATTCTGGGAAAACTTAATCAACCTAATACTGCAGAAGGTGTTCCAAGATCTTCTAGTACTTTGGATAAGCAGTAGGAATTTAATGATGGATTAAGTTATTTCATTGATTCATTCTTACATTAACTTAATTACATTAATAAAATATATTAATTTATTGATGAATGAAAGCATAATATACCAGCTAATCTGTAATCCACAGAATACTAAATTAGCTTTCATTAGATAGACTAAATTAAATAATATTCAGTAGGGGTCTAACAAATTTTTGTTGAGCCAGTCAATAAAACATAAACAAATCCCTTATTAACCCCCAAATCTCAGAATTATAATTTTCCATTCTGCAACCTGACAACTTTTTTTCATAAGGCAGCTAGAGAAGATATTGATTCAATAGACACCTGGTTTACAGAATTAATCTCATATTTCTTTTGCTTCCCATATAGCAAGAAACTTAAAATGTTTCTTTTTCTGGTCAATCATTACATCACTTTGTGGAGCATAAATAGAGCTTAGGGAAGAGATAAAACCAGTTGTAATGACCAAGCCTCAACTCACATGCCCTAAACTGAAGGGACACAGTAACATTTCATGCAGGCTTTTCCATAGTGCTATAAAGTAGATTGTGATGTTTTGTCCCTAATTGAGTTATGCTTTTAAGACATTGTTATTGATTTTTAAAATGATATGAAACAGCTTTTAAGATTTCAGGCCAGGCGCTGTGGCTCACACCTGTAATCCCAGCACTTTGGGAGGCCAAGGTGGGTGGATCATGAGGTCAGGAGATTGAGACCATCCTGGCTAACACGGTGAAACCCCGTCTCTACTAAAATTACAAAAAAAAAATTAGCCAGGCGTGGTGGCGGGTGCCTATAGTCCCAGCTACTCGGGACGCTGAGGCAGGAGAATCGCTTAAACCCAGGAGGCTGGGGTTGCAGTGAGCCAAGAGCATGCCACTGCACTCCAGCCTGGACCACAGAGCGAGACTCTGTCTCAAAAAAAAAAAAAAAAAAATTCAAAATATATGCTTGGTGTCCACATTTTGGATAACAGGCAGCCAAAGCTGGGTTTATTTGCATGGAAATAGCTTTTCAAGAGAATGGGAATCAATAGAGGGAAAGTTGATGAAATTCTGCTTCCAGTAATGATGGAATTAACTCTCCCACAGAAAACAGCTGCCAGCTTAAAAAAAGAAAAAAGAAAAAAAACCCCAAAACCAACTACTTGAGTGACCAAAAGCAGGCAGAAACTGGAGCAGGAAGGGTCTACATTTGGGAGGAGGATGGCGTTAGCTGAGTTTCCCATTTTTGCAGCTTTTAGCCTGAAGTCAGATGATGCCATCACTGTGGGGGTGGAGATTTAGGCAGGGTATGTGTCTAACACTTGGATAGAAACCTCAGTCTTGGCCGGGTGCGGTGTCTCACGCCTATAATCCAGCACTTTAGGAGGCCGAGGCAGGCAGATCACTTGTGGTCAGGAGTTTGAGACCAGCCTGGCCAACATGGTGAAACCCCATCTCTACTAAAATACAAAAATTAGCCAGGCATGGTGGTGCATACCTGTAATCCCAGCTACTCGGCAGGCTGAGGTGGGAGAATCGCTTGAACCCCGGAGGCGGAGGCTGCAGTGAGCTGAGATTGCACCACTGCGATCCAGAGACTGGGCAAGAGAGAGAGAACCTATCTCCAAAAAAAAGAAAAGAAAAAAAAAAAGGAAAGAAGAAAGGAAGGAAGGGAGGGAGGGAGGGAGGGGAAGAAAAAGAAACAAACCTCAGTTTTTTTGGCCTGAAGAACTAGGGTAGGGGTCAGTCAGGGGCCATGGCAGCTGGAAGCGGAAGAGGAGAAATATGCAGAAGAAGAACAGGAGCAAGAAACCAGGAAGCCCTAAATTCTCCACAGGAACTCTGCCCAAATGCTTGGCTGATGCCTAAACTTTGCTTGCAACCATTAGACTTCGAACAGCCCACCTAAGGCTAAAAGAACTAAATGGAGATTTTAGCTATTGTTCACTACTTATTAAAACAAACAAACAAAGAATCAACACCCTCTGCCAGTGATCCTCCAGCGTGTGGTTGGGATATGGCAGGGATATCCCTTCTTGCACTGTAAGAGACAGCCCCATACCACGAAGTTCTGCTCTACTCAAAATGTCAGTTGCACACACAGTTAGTTCTGCTCTAAGGAGAGGTTTCAAACCTCCCTGGTTGGAACTTGGAATGTGTTTTTCTATTTTTTTTTCTTTTTTTGAGATGCAGTCTCGTTCTGTCACCCAGGCTGGAGTACAGTGGCGTGATCTCAGCTCACTGAAACCTCCACCTCCTGGGTTTAAGCAATTCTCCTGCCTCAGCCTCCCAAGTAGCTTGGATTACAGGCGCCTAACACGACGCCTGGCTAATTTTTGTATTTTTAGTAGAGGCGGGGTTTCACTATGTTGGCCAGGATGGTCTTGAACTCCTGACCTCAAGTGATCTGCCCGCCTCGGCCTCCCACCGCATTGAGATTACAGGCATGAGCCACCATGCCTGGCCAGAATGTGTTTTCCACTGAAATTCTGTGATAAATGATAGCTCCTGTGGAGCCAGGTGCACAATGAATTCAGTAGTCTTTACGCCAATCTACAAATAATACCATGACTTGTCTTATTGCTTCTATGAGAAAATGTGTTCCAAGTTTCAAACAACACACTTTGAAATTCCTGGAGCACAACTACTTCTTCGATGCTCCTTTGGCTTCAGGATTGGCTACCTTCACCAATCAATCTGAGCACCCCTCATCCCCATACACAATGGTGGCATCCTATGCCCAATCAGAATAGGATGGATATGCACTCAGGATTTTGCCATAGTGTGACTCTTATAAAAAGGAGCCAAAAAAAAAAAAAAAAAGCCAACAATTCCAGGATCATGTGAGAGAGAGAGCAAGTGAGAGAGAGAGAGAGAGAAATGTCTACTTCTATGTGCACATAAAACTAAATGTATACGTTCTGCCTGTTGTCTACATACCTCTAACTCTTTTTGGGGGTAGAGTATATGAACTATTTAATAACTCAACGTAATGATGTTACATTTTAGAATAAGAACCAAGGAATCAGATTTCAGTAGAAAAGCAAAGCACTGAACACTACATCTCTTGTGTGTCTAAATATTCTCTTTTTCTAAGGACATCAGTAATATTGGATTATGGCCCACTCTAACAGCCTGATTTTAACTTAATCACTTCTCTAAAGGTCCATCTCCAAACACAGTTACATGGCGAAGGAAGTACTGGGGTTAGGGCTCAACATATGAATTTTAGGGGGGGTGGGGGAGTGGGTATGAAGATAATTCAGCCCATAATGCATATTGCTGTCTACTGAGTCGAGTTCTTGGAGGTTGAATCCTGCTGCTATAGCCTTGAACTCCAAGTCATTATGGCTCAGCTCCTTGCAGAGTTTATAATTTGGAATTGCTTGAGTTGATGGCCCATGCAGCTTTATCTGCGGGTATCCTTCCAAAGGATTGTGGGCATATCTTTCCAAAGAGGTTGTCCATTTGTTTTTGCCAGATGTCCTGGAGGATTTACTGATCTAGGATGTTTTGTATGCTCATTTTTCAACTTAGGAAGTCATTATACTCTATAGGTAAACTTAAATCCCAAACCCATGCACTGTGTAAGCTGTGATCATGAATTCTCAGGGGAGACTTTGTTCCTACTCAGGGCTCATGCAGAGACAAACAAGCTTCATCGGTGTCTCCCTTTTAACAAGAGTGTCATTCCTCAAGGTCTCGGCTTCACGAGGGTCTTATTTCTAACACCATGCCCCTCCTAGCACCCAGGCCTTTCCCTGTGGCAGTCTGATTTTTGGGGTGGCCCCTATGATCCCTACCTCCTGGTGTTCATACCCTAGAATAATATCCTCCTCTTGAGTGTAGGCAGGACCTGTAACTTGACTCTAACCAATAGAATATGAGACCAGCTGCAGTGACTCACGCCACTAATCTCAGCCCTTTGGGAGGTTGAAGCAGGTGGATTACTTGAGCCCAGGAGTTCGAGACCAGCCTGGGCAATATGGCAAAACTTATCCCTACAAAAAATACAAAAATTAGCCAGGTGTGGTGGCTAACTTTTTATGGTGCTTGTAGTCCCAGCTACTTAGGAGGCTGAGGTCAGAGGATGGCTTTAGCCTGTGAGGCTGAGGCTGCAATGAGCTGTGATCATGCTACAGCACCCTAGCCCGGGCAACAGCAAGACCCTGTCTCAAAACAAACAAACACAGATGGCAAGGGTGACAGGATGGACATGATTCCAAGATGATTTTATTCATCTTGCTGGAGTCTCTCATTCCCTTCCTGGCTTTGACAAAGCAAGCTGACATGTTGGGGTGGTGTATATTAGGATGCCCATGTGGCACTAAGGGTGGCCTCCTGGCTGACAACCAGGAAAAAAACAGAAGCTTTCAATCTTACCTACACCTGCAAAGAACTGAATTCTTCCAACAAGAGTGGATTCCTCTCCAGTGGAGACCTCAGCCTAGCAGACACTTTGATTGCAGTCATTTGAGACCCCAAGCAGACAACCTAGCCACGCCATGCTTAGCCTCTTGACCCACAGAAACTGGAACATCATAAATATATGTTGTGCTTTTTGTCACTAAGTTTGTGGTAATATGTGGTAACATAGCCAAGGATAACTAATATACTCTCCCAACTCAGATGGTCACCAAACCCAAGGCCAAAGATTTCTAAGACCTGCCCCAAGAGCAGTGATAACAGTAATTTATAAAATTATTACTCTGGTTTTCAGTTTCTTCTTTGTTTTTGGTCCCTGGGAATTTCTATTATTTTCTTTAACAATTAGCTGTGGATTTACAGAAATCTTACGTTGTGTACAGCCTGCTAAGGTTTTTTTTTTTTCCCCTCTGTAAGCTGGATATGTTTCATGTTGTAAAGTCCTCCATATTGCTAGAAGTGGAAGATGCCTTAAAGGTTTCCAGTCAAAGTAGAAGCATTATGCTCCCTTCTCTTTGAATGAATTTTCTGTTCTCCAGAAAATCCACCTACTCCCAATGTTGGCATGCAGCCTTTAAGTTTGAGATTCAACTTTATCTCAAATGCTAACTTTTTCTCAAAATGCCAATCCACATTTTTAGCTGCCTCTTAGAAATAGTTTTCTTTTGGAGGTCTTATCTTGACATTAAGCACCTTACTTTCCAAAATGCCTGCTACCTATTTTTGCCTGCCTTTCAGGGGATTATTTCCTAATCATTTCCCAGTGCTCACCTTCACTCATCCCTTATCCAGTTAGTGACCAAGAGCTCTTTTTTATTCCTTACTATTCTCACATCGGCTTCTCCTTTTGCCGTGCTGCAGCCAATATCCCCCTAGTTTAGGCTCTCACTGTCTCATGTCTAGATGTTGCACTGTTTTCTCTTTAATGCCCTTTCTATTGCATTCTCATGTCCTCAACTTTCTCAGGTGGTTACTTCCTTCTAGAGTGTTCTCTGTCTATCAACATTTCACCTACTTTGTCCAGGCACGGTGGCTCACACCTGTAATCTCAACACTTTGGGAGGCTGAGGTGGGAGGATTGCTTGAGTCCAGGATTTCGAGACCAGTCTGAGTAACATAGTGAGACCCCATCTCTATAAAAAATTAAAAAATTTGCCAGGCATAGTGTTGTGCCCCACCTGTAGTCCAAGCTATTTGGGGGGTTGAGGGGGGAGGATTGCTTGAGCCTGAGAGGTCAAGGATGCAGTGAGCAGTGATGGCACCACTGCACTGCAGCCTGGGTGACAGACCAACACCCTGTTTCCAAAATAATAATAATAATAATTGTACCTACCTTTAAATATTCAGCTCATAGACAGCTTCCTCCAGGCAGCTTTCTCTGACTAACCAAGCCAAAGACACCTCTTTCTCCTCTGAGCTCAAACAAGACCAGCAACCTTAGGGTTAGGTACCACCATGCTTTACATCTTTATATCTGTTCTGGGTACAGTCCTTTCTGTACAGCAAGTGTTCAATCCATTTTAAAAGATTGTGACTCAGATTTGAAAAGCTGCCTGATTTTTGGTTCAGCAAATGTGGGACTAGTCAGGAAATCCAGTATAAATAAGTGACATGGGGCTGGGAATCATGAAATAAGCAAAAATTAACAAGATTTCTCATTCCTCTCAAGACTACCCCCAAGATCCACCAGACCCTGGATTTAAGTTCAATGCCATTCCTTGACTTCCCTTACATTCCAATTCCAGCCTTGCTCCAAACCTGAGGGCTTCCTGGTTATGGTATTGTCCAGCTTAAAACACCTCTAATGGCTTCCACGGAGCATAGACTGCCCCCATCTTGGAGCCCTCCATGACCTCATTTACTCTTCCAGCCTCATCTCCCATCTTGCTTTCCCTTTCTTCTATACTCCAGCCACACTCAGCACAGTCATCTGAATCTAAGCATGACTTGCACCTTCCTCCTTCAGCTAACACTGCTGCTACTACCCGGAGTGACCTTCTTTCTTTGTCTAACAAAGGCTTATCTTAACTTTAACTTTAAGACTCAGCTGAAATTGCCTTCTCTATGAAATTCACTCTGACTGCCACCCGTTTCCTTCTTTGTATACTGATGCTGATCTTGTCCATAGCAACATCTCTCAGAGATCCCATCTGTATCTGTTAATAATACACAGCTTGGCCATGGTAACCCATACCCATCACTGAATAATTCCTATGAGCTGGGCATTGTTATAGATATTTTGCATTTATTAATTCATTTAACCCTCACAACCAGCCTTTGAGATGAGGACTATAGATGAAGGAACAGAGCAGTTAGGTATCTTGTTCAAGGCCACAAAGCATATGTGATGGAACCAGAATTTGAACCCAGGGCTTCTGAATACAGAGCCTGAACCATTAACCACATGCTCTGCTGCCTCTCAGTGAGTGCCAGTGAAATGAATGGGTGCACAAATGAATGATTTCTCCAGAATGGTAGAAGGTGATCAGCTGTTCTTTCCATATGCCTCCATTGATCACTTTAGCATACCCAAAGTAAACTCTCTTTGGATCCACATCTCTCAAGGAAAGTTCCCATCTGCTTGAGTTCTCTTGGAAACAAAGCAGAGAACTAGTCAACCCTGGACCAACAGAGCTCTGAGATGAGCCCAGTGTGACCTAGCTGAGGGGCAAATACTGGATAATAAAGAGGTGCTTTCTTGCAAGTGAAATAAAACCAGTGAATTTTCTTTCTGTCTACTGGATTCCCTAGGATAGCACCTTGCATAAATCCTAGTTAATATCACAGAATTTGACAACTGGGATGATAGATGGTGCACCTCAACCCCTTAATTTAATGATAAGGAAACTGAGGCTCAGATCAGCAAAATAGTCAAACTGTTCATTGTCACACAGCTAGTTAATGATTCCTGGGCTAGCATCCAGAAGAGACAAAACACTCCCAAAGGATATTGGCACACTGCTTTTCTTCAAGGGGACTGCCCAATTCTCACATTTTCCCCTTTTTTTAAAGAAAAAAACTTGCTTTAAAGAAGTTTTAATCTAGATTTAATTGTTTCCCCTTAACCCAGTGTAATTATCTATGGTTTCCACTCCAAATTGGCTTGGACTCAAAGGATTTATGGTGGCTCTATAATGTCCTGCTAGGTGAATGTTCTTTTGTCTTACAAATGAAGAGATTACTTTAGCAGCTTTAGCAGAAGGGGAAAACGTGCTTTCACCAAATGTGTTTGCTTAAATAGTATAATTGATCATCAACAAAGCCCTACCACCTTCTGTAGTTTTTTTCTTAGGTAGATATGATAACCAAGCTGGAAATTTCCATTTCTAACAGCTACAATTTCCAAGCTATATATTAAGTACCGATTTTGACAGATAAATGGATAAAATGTATTTTGGGGTCCTCTGGCACATGAGACTTCTGATTAATTTGAGCCAACATTGGTTTGCTGCATTGAGCTCTGTACTTGGATTAGACATCTATTAGAATAGATGCAAAACCAAGTTAGGCTAGTTTCAGATGACTGGCTCTCTTAGCTCAGGCCGCCATAACAAAATCCCATAGTCTGGGTGGCTTAAACAACGGAAATTCATTTTCTCAGAGTTCCAGAGGCTGGAAGTACAAGACCTCAGTGCCAGTATGGTTGGGTTATGGTGAGGACTCACTTCTTGGCTTGTAGATGGCCACCTTCTTGCTGTGTTCTCACATGACAAAGAGAAAAAGAGAGAGAGAGGAAGCGCTCTGATGTCTCTTCTTCTGAGGGCACTATTCACATCACCCAACATCATCACCTCATCTGAACCTAATTGGGAATCTTTTAAATCTCCCAAATGCCCTATCTCCAAATACCATCACATTGAGGATTAGGGCTTCCACATATGAATTTGTGGTGGGGCAGGAGGGAGACATAATTCAGTTTATAGCATTATATCCCTGGCTCCCCAAATTCATATCCTTCTTGTATGCAAAATATATTCATTCCATTTCAACAGCTCCAAGAGTCTTAACTTGTTCCAGCATCAACTGTAATGTCTAAAGTCCAAAGCCTCCTTTAAATATCATCTAAATCAGATATGAGTGAAATTTGAGGTACAATTTATCCTGAAGCAAAATTCCTCTCCAGGTGTGAACTTGCGGAACCAGACAAATTACGCACTGCCAAAATACAACATTGGGACAGGCATAAGATAAATGTTCCCATTCCGAAAGGGAGAACTCAGAAGAAAGAAAGGAGTGACAGACCCCAAGCAAGTCCAAAACCTAGCAAGGCAAATCCTATTAGATCTTAAGGCTCAGGAATTATCCTCTTTGGCTCAATGTCCCATCTTCCAGGCTCACTGGGGTGGAAGCATCACTCCAATAGCTCCAGGCAGGGGCCCTGCCCCTGTGGTTCTTGCAGACCCTGGGTCTTGTCAGAAGGCTGTGTCCCCAAGGCTCCTCTGGATGGTCCTCCTGCAAAGCTTCAGGTAGGGGCTTTCCAGTGGTTGAAACCAAGGCTCTGGGCCTGATGAGCTCTGCATCAACTTCAGCATCAATTTTTTCTCTTCTGGGAGAATAGTGCATGTTCCAAGTACCTCTACTTTCTCATCTAGTGAAATCCAAGAATTCCAATAGCCTTCCTTCATTTTGTCATGTCTCTATCCCCTTCGGTTCAAACTGGCAGTGTTTCTGCTCATATAACCCTATAAACACTATCAAGTGATAGTTTGGCCATGACCTTGGTGTTTTTTTTGCAATATGGATAGATGAAGTATTTTCCAAGTCTGCAAGTTCTTGTTTCTTTTGGCTTAATAATTCCTTCTTCAATTAATGTTTCTTTCCCACATTTCCCTATAAGCAATCAGGAAGAACCAAGCCACTCCTTCAACACTTTGCTTAGAAAACTACTCAGCTAAATATCCAATTTTGTCACTCACACATTCTGCCTTTCACAAAACTCTAGAACACAGTTCACAGAAGTTCTTTGTTAGTTTATGAAAAGAATCATCTTTCCTCCAATTTCCAGTAACACAATCCTCATTTCTGAGACCTTGCCAGAATTGCCCTTAATGTTCATATTTTTAGTGTGCACCCCCAAATTCTTCCAGCCTCTACCCATTACCCAATTCCAAAGCCATTTCCACATTTTTAAGTATTTGTTACAGCAGCACTCCACTACTTGGTTCCAAAATTTGTATTAGGTTTCTCCAGAAGAACAGAACTGATTGGAGATAGGTAGGTAGGTAGGTAGATAGACAGATAGATAGCTTTATTATAAGGAATTAGCTGATGTGATTATGGAGGATGAGAATTCCCAAGATCTATAATTAGTGAGCTGGAGACTCAGTGGAGTTGATGGCATAATTTCAGTTCAAAAGCTGGCAGGCTTAAAACCCAAGAAGAACCAATGTTAGTCTAAGTCTGAAGGTTAGAAAAGACAAGCATCCCAGCTCAAGCAGTCCGGCAGGAGGGATCCCCTCTTACTTAGCCTTTTTGCTTTACTCAGGTCTTCAAAGACCCATATTAGGGAGGTCAGTCTAATTTTTTTTTTTTTTTTTGAGACAGAGTCTGATGCTGTCACCCAGGCTGGAGTGCAGTAATGTGATCTCGGTTCACTGCAGTCTCCACCTCCTGGGTTTAAGTGATTCTTGTGCCTCAGCCTCCAGAGCAGATGGGACTACAGACACATGCCACCACACCCAGATGATTTTTGTATTTTCAGTAGAGACAGGGTTTTACCCTGTTGGCCAGGCTGGTCTTGAACTCCTGACCTCAAGTGATCTGCCCACCTCGGCCTCCCAAAGTGCTGGGATTACAGGCGTGAGCCACTGCACCCGGCTGTCAGTCTGTTTTATGCAGCAAACTAACTCAAACATTAATGTCATCCAGAAACATCCTCACTGACACACCCAGAATAATGTCTGACCAAATGTCTTGGCACCTCAAGGCCCACTCAAGTTATCACATAAAACTAATCATCGCACAGACCCTCAGGTATATGATTTTAGTACTCCACAACAACTGCAGGCTTCTGGGAAATAATTCCTCAAGAACGCAATTTCAACAACATCACTTTGGGCAAAGACATAAGAAAACAGCTGTCCAATTGAAGAATTTTTAGAGCTGCTATTGTATTACTTACTTGGAAATTGCCTAATGATACCAGTAATGAGAAGGAGACATAGAGGGTAAGAATGAAGGATATTTCCTCTCTCTCTTTGTATTCTTATTCTCTCTCACTCTGTACATAATCCTGTTATTGCAGTAAGATAGTAGAATCGTGGGGGAAGAGACCAACATTTATTGAAAATTTACAATGATACAATGATAATGATGATGGCTAACATTTATCAAATGCTTACTATATTCCAGGCACTCTTCTCATTTAATTCCCTATTTAACCCTTTACTATATTCCATATATTACATTGTGTTATCTTCACACCTAGCTGATGAGGTAGGTCATTTATCTATTTCTATCTATTGTATAGATAAAGACATTTCCCAAAGTCAAACAACAAACCAGAGGTTGAGCTGGGATTTGCATCCAGCACGGCTCATGTTGTTCTTTCATGCGTATGCTGCCTGCCCTGCTAAGTAAGACCCATTACACCATGTACATTTGTACATTAACAGAAATAAATAATACAGATATGTCTGATGTTCTCCTCTGCACTAGAACTCAGAAAATGTGAAAATATCATCTTGGTTTTGCTTCTCATTTGCCATATGGCATTAACATATCACTTAATTTCTCTATGACTCAATTTCTTTACCCATAAAGTGAAAATTCTATCTGTCCCATCCTATGGCAAGGCATTTTAATGGCAGGTCCAAATAAAATGATTGCAAAAGCATTATGAAGAATGCCACACAAATGCAAGTATTGGTATGAGTGTGCTTACTACAAAACACAAAAACCATCCTCCTTTTTGTGCATCGGACAGGAGAGGTCTTTCTTAGATGCTTCCTCTGTCCCATCATCTTCGTGGCCAGCTGCACAAAGCAGGTAATAAATTGCCTCCTAATTATAAGAAGGGATATACATAGCATATCTGGTCTAGTAGGTGCTCAATAAATATTAACTTCCTTACTTTGCATGAATGGGCATAGGAGTCAAAGCCTGGTCCCAACCTGCTCACCAAGTGTCACGGGGAATCCATTTCCAGGATTCTAAAAATAATAATCAGCCATTATCTTTCTTGAATGTGATTTGATTCAAAATGGAAAATACTGAGTGTGGTAGGGAGAGGAAACTATGCCTGAGGAACCACTTAGTTACAACAGGGCCCCAGCTTTGTGATTCAGGACATGCTGCTGGAGAAATGTAGTTCTTTTCATGGGCAGGACCTGACTGTCCTTTCTGCCCAAGGGTGCAATTCACTTATTTGGCTACAAAAAGCTCCTTTACTGCCTGTCTCGCATTCTCCACTTTATAAATCTTCCAGGGGTGTCAACTGCTCAGAAGGCAGTGGCTATTTTAGTAAGTCTGAAATGATCCCCAAGGGCTTGTCACCTGTATACACCAAGAATGGCTTTTAGGTTTCCGTTTCCCGTTCGTCTAAGCAAGCCTGAGAAAGAACACACTGTGGCTGTCTGATTCAGATGGTCCTTTCTTCCCCCACATCTCCATTCATTTATAACTCATTCTTTCTGGTTCACTGTGACTGTGATTGTAACTGAGCACAGGACCCTGGAGAGACTCCTCAGCTTGTAGGGGGATGTGGCTGTTAAAGAGAGAACCTCTCTCCCAGAGGGCTTGGCTACTGAGACGTATTTTTCTTCCTTTCTCTTTTACAAGTGGAAAATAATGCCTGGGAGGAAAATGAGACAAACAGCGGCAATTCCAATTTCACCTAAGCTAGGATTTATTTTATTTTTTTTACTATTCCCAGCTCCCAGATAAATTCTCTCCCTGATTTCTGTTATATGTCACTTTGGCTGACATATGTCAAGTTCTTAACATTGATGAAAAATAACCCATTGGGTGGAAATGAATATCATGACACAGAGGTGATTTTACAGTTTTGTTGTTTTAATGAATGAAAGGTTAACAATAAGAATTGGACTAATAGTGTTGGAAACAAGCCCTCGATTTATCTGCAGAACAGACCCAAACTTCTCAGCTCTCCTCCCTCCTCTCCAGTTGACCACTCTGCAAGGTTGGTTACTCTAAAACTCCACCAGTGTCCTCTCGGGGAAGAGGTGATAGGTGATTAAACAGATTGTCCGTAATGCATGGCTTATCTTTCTTTAGGCTGTGATCTTGCTTGACAGTCATTAGTTACATGTGTATGCATCTTACCCACTTAAAAAAATGTTTTTTTTATTTCAATAGCTTTAGAGGTACAAGCGGTTTTTGGTGACATAGATGAATTATATAGTGAGGGAGTCTGGGCCTTTAGTGTACCTGTCACCCAAATAGTGTACATTGTACCTAATAGGGAATTTTTCATTCCTCACCCCCGTCCACCCTCCCTCCTCCTGAGTCTCCAGTGTCCACTGTACCACTCTGTATGCCCATCGCTTAGCTCCCATTTAGGAGTGAGAACATGCAGTATTTGGTTTTCCATTCCTGAGTTACTTCACTTAGGATAATGGCCTCCAGCTCCATCAAAGTTGCCCAAAAGACATTTATTCTTTTTTATAGCTGAGGCGTATTCCATAGCATATAAATGCCACATTTTCTTTATCCACTCATTGCTTGATGGGCACTTAGGTTGATTGCATGTCTTTGCAATTGTGAATTGTGCTGCAATACACATATGAGTGCAAGGTGTTGATATAATGACTTCTTTTCCTTTGGGTGGGTACCCAGCAGTGGGACTGCTGGGTCAAATAGTAGATCTACTCTTAGTTCCTTGAGAGCTCGCCATACTGTTTTCCATTGAGGTTGTACTGATTTACCTTCCATTTTCTCCTTTTTTTTTTTTTTTTTTTTTTGAGACGGAGTCTCACTCTGTCACCCAGGCTGGAGTGCAGTGGCACAATCTCTGCTCACTGCAAGCTCCGCCTCCTGGATTCACGCCATTCTCCTGCCTCAGTCTCCCAAGTAGCTGGGACTATAGGCACCCACCACCAGGCCTGGCTAATTTTTTTGTATTTTTAGTAGAGACGGGGTTTCACCGTGTTAGCCAGGATAGTCTTGATCTCCTGACCTCGTGATCCGCCTGCCTCGGCCTCCCAAAGTGCTGGGATTACAAGTGTGAGCCACTGTGCCCGGCTCCATTTTCTCCTCTTTTAAATGGAGAACTTCCTAAGATGGGCCATTCACGTTTTTCCCACAGAAAGTCTTCCACATAGCAGACACTCAATTATAATTACAAATATTTGTTGGTTGAATGAATGAAGGAAAGAAAATATTTTAAAAGGTACAGACAAGAAGAATTCCGGGAGCTGTGAGGCTCAATTTAGTTGTATGCTGTCATTCATCACCACAGTCTTGGCCAGATTTTCAGTGCTACAAATCGATACTAACCAACTGGTAGGCAGAGACGTATAACCATCTCCTATAAAATTGCTAATTCAGTCTGGGTGCAGTGGCTCAGGCCTGTAGTCCCAGCACTTTGGGAGGCCAAGGTGGGTGGATCACTTGAGGTCAGGAGTTTGAAGCCAGCCTGACCAACTTGGTGAAACCCCGTCTCTACTAAAAAAAGTACAAAAAAATTAGCCAGGCATGGTGGTGGGTGACTGTAGTCCCAGCTACTCGGGAGGCTGAGGCAGGAGGAATCACTTGAACCTGGGAGGCGGAGGTTGCAGAGGAGCCAAGATCGTGCCATTGCACTCCAACCTGGGTGACAAAGTTAGACTCCATCTCAAAAAAAAAAAAAAAAAAAGATTGCTAATTCAAACAGTAATATGGATTGCTGTTTGAAAATGAAACAAGGCATTTGCAGTCAACAATTCTGGACTCATCTCAGAGTTATATGCCATGGTCTGTACCAATGACCAATGCTCTCAGTAAGGGCTGTCTCCAGATGCCAAGGCAATGCGGTAAACACCCTCTAATATTGCCCCAACCAACTCATATATTCAAATATGTATTGAGATGCTGACACAGTTAAGGAAGGCAGAATTTGTTAAGTCTTCTGCGGAGAAACTGAAAAAATGGAGTGAGAATCCATTTTTAGCGGAAAAAAAAAAAGGCGATATAAAACATTTTCTTAAGAGGTTTAGCATATTTGAAAAGACGTGCCAAAAAAAAAAAGTATTCTTTTACTAATTCAATTAAAATGATCTCAGTCACTTCGGTATTTTCCATTTCTGGTCAAAATCTAGACAACAAAGAAGGAAGTGTCATCTGAGGTAATTATGGTCTAACCAGGAGCAAAATAGGCCCCAGGCCTCACAAGGAAGCTTGACTGAAAGAGGAACTTTGACTTAGTAAAACCGAACTGCTGGGGTCGAACTGACCAGCCCTAATTTGGAGCAGGTGCAATCACTCTGGCCATTTGCTGACAGGCAGCATGAACGAGGGGAAACAAAAAGCCCGGAGAAGTACTGAGTGCTAAGAGGCTTTCAGAGGCGCCTGTTGCTAGGGAACCACTTCCTCTGTGTTCATACCCAGCGAACTCAAGCTATTCAGATATCACTGGAATAATCTCTCTCAGGCTCCGAGGGGAAAAGAAACAGCTCTCAAAGCTCAGACGTCATGGTAACACTGGGAAAAGCCCAGC
Organism: Homo sapiens; assembly: GCF_000001405.40. Lineage (NCBI taxonomy): Eukaryota > Metazoa > Chordata > Mammalia > Primates > Hominidae > Homo > Homo sapiens. Next base: position 14,648,545 of record NC_000010.11, read on the forward strand.
TTTTCCAGCAGACACCGAAGAGCCAATGATACCAGGAGAAAACCAGAAGTGAATGGGCATCTTGTGTTTTATTGAGACACAGAGGACAGGCACCTTCTGCCTGACCCCACCCAGGTGCGTCGGTGGCAAACAGTGACACACCCACAACCCACATGTAATTTTACTATCAGTTCTTTGAGAATGAGATACTGTTCTCTTCATCTTCAGAACCCACGTCATCTAGCCCAGTACTTTCCACACCATTCTCCAAGTTGGTTTAATTCAAGTTCTTCATTCCATAAATATTTATCGAGGACTTGGTTCTATGTGCACTGCATGGATGCTATGATAGAGATTAAAAAAGACACAGAGACAATTCCCCTAAAGAAGCTTCCTGGTCTTAGAAACACAAACGAGGATGAGGTTTGTCTACAAATAATGGTAACACAATGGCAGTATAAACAACATGGTAGGTTTCATTCGTAAGCCAAATATAAAATTCTAAGCCCCACAACCAGCTGAATGGACCTCTCCTCTTGGCCAAGGGCATTCTAAAATAAGCACACCAGTTCAGGCCATGATGGGAATGCATGATCAGACATGCCTCAGTTTATATTGCTCCCTTTGGAATTCAGGCACTGCTGACTAACATTAGCATTAAAACAGAGACCATAAGACTGACAAAACAGACTCTGCGTAGCAATAAGATAACCACATGACAGACAGCAGGACCTGAAAGAAATCAAGATATTTTATCCCAAAATACATTTCTTTGACACATTTTGAAATGGCACTGCAAAGCTGTCTCTTGTGGGGAAAACCTATGTTTTATAGAGAATTCCCTTTCCTTTCCAGGTCTTTTTTCTGATCTAGGAGAGAATTAACTAAGAGTCTGGCACCTTTTAAAGTCTGTTAAGAAACATTTACCATCTAGTCTCTCTGAAGCCTGCTATCTGGAGGCTTCATCTACATAATAAGAACCTTAGTCTCCACAACTTCTTATCTTAACCCAGACACTCCCTTCTATTGATTCCACATCTTTAGATAATCACTTAACACTTTCAAGCACTTGCCAATCAGAAAATCTTTGAATCCACCTGTGACCTGGACACCCCCCACTTCGAGTTGTCCCACCTTTTCCAGACTGAACCAATGTACATCTTACCTGTATTAATTTATGTCTTATGTTTCCTTAAAGTGTATAAAACCAAGCTGTAGTCTGACCACCTGGGCACATGTTCTTAGGATCTCCTGGGGCTGTGTCACAGGCCATGGTCACTCATATTTGGCTCGGAATACATCTCTTCAAATTTTTTATAGAGTTTGACTCTTTTCATTGGCACATTGTTTGACCATTACACATAATAAGGGCCAGTGGGCACTCAGTGCAGAGTTAGTATTGCTGCTCTTCAGTCATCAGAGATGCAGGCATGTCCTGTGCGTTTCCTCCAGTATCCTTAACACATGGTTTCATCTCTTGGGTCAACACCTGGTCCGAGGTGGCTGCCATAGTATCCTGTCAATGTCCCAGATAGGAAGAAGGAGGAAGGACGTGCTCCCTGGAGGAAGCTTTCCAGAAGCCCCACTTTTGTCAATGCTACATTTGAGGTCTTCCTAGCAAAAGCATGAAAGCCTCTTCACCTGCATTATTGTTTTGGGTTGTAAAATCAGTCTTATTCGCATACAGTTTTTTTTTTTCATTAGGAAGGTTATATAAGCTCATTACAGAAAATTTGGAAAATAAACGAATTCATTCTTAACTCTGATTTTTTTTTTCTTTTGCCATTGAGATGGAGTCTTGCTCTGTCACCCAGGCTGGAGTGCAGGAGTGCAGTGGCATGATGATCTGCCTCCCAGCTTCAAGCAATTCTCCCACCTCAGCTTCCCTAGTAGCTGGGATTACAGGTACCCACCACCATGCCTGGCTCATTTTTGTATTTTAAGTAGAGATGGGGTTTCACCATGTTGGCCAGGCTGGTCTCGAACTCCCGACCTGAGGTAATCCTCCCACCCTGGCCTCCCAAAGTGCTGGGATTACAGGCATGAGCCACCGCGCCCGGCCTCTCGATACTTATTTAAGAGTAACAAATACTTATTGCTTACGTATTGTGCTACGTATTGAGCATTCTGGTTTAGTTCCTCCATTCCATAAAACTATGCATCAGTTGTTGTGTTCTGTACTTACAGTTATGGTAAACATTTTTATATCCTACTTCTTTCTACACAGCATTAAATCATTAGCTTTCTTTCTATTTTGTTATATCACTAAATTTCAAGAAGTCGTATATGCTCATAGTAAAAGTAAAAATAATATTTTTTAAAAACTCAACCATATTCCCTTGCTCTTATGCTTACAATGCACTCTACTCCAATTTTAGGATAAGTTCAGCGTTAAGTGTTAATGATAGTGAAGGAAACTTCTAGCGTCTGAGCTACATCCCAGAGTTCCCCAGTAGGATGAAACTCCAGTCACCAAAAATGATACTCTTCCTAATAAGCAATGCTTTATTGGCCTCTTTCTACTACTGACGCTTCCTGAGACAACCTCCAAATTAAGCAAGCTGTACTAGAATCCTTGTCTCAGGGTCTACTTCTGGGGGAACCAAATTAAGACACCACTTGACAACTTTAGCTAGTATATCATTGGCCAGCCCTATCTATAAGGAGCCTGGGAAATATTGTTTTAGAGCTTGGGCTATAACTGCACTTGACAATATTAGGATTCTCTGGCTAAAGAATATGAATATTGGATAAACATCTGGCCATCTCTGCCATGTGTGGATAAGATATATCCACACATGGCTGGGCGCAGTGGCTCACGCCTATAATCCCAGCACTTTGGGAGGCTGAGGCGGGCAGATCACCTGAGGTCGGGAGTTCGAGGCCAGCCTGACCAACATGGAGAGACCCCGTCACTACTAAAAATACAAAATGAGCCAGGCGTGGTGGTGCATGCCTGTAATCCCAGCTACTTAGGAGGCTGAGGCAAAATTGCTTGAACCTGGGAAGCAGAGGTTGCAGTGAGCTGGGATCGCGCCATTGCACTCCAGCCTGTGCAACAAGAGTGAAACCCCGTCTCAAAAAACAAAACAAAACAGATATATCCACACATAACCGTAAATTATGAGCCATAAGAAGGGGACTGGGGAGATTACTTTTTTGTAGGTACTTAATGACTTCCTTGAGACTGTAGAATTTGACTTGCACCCTCAAGGCTAGGTGGGATTTTAATAGGCGAATAGATAATCTGACGGTGTGTAGGGTTTATAAGAACAGGTAAAGCCTGGACACAGAAAGACAAGTTAGGAGATGATGAAAATGGTTTGGGTGTAAGAGAATAATAACCCAAACCAGAGTGTGATACCAAGACTGGAAAATTAGGAATATGTGTGAGAAATACAGCAAAGGAACTCAATAAGATTCATACAGAGGTGAAGTGGAAAGAAGGAATCCAACATGACCTTGAAGCTTGAAGCCAGGATGGAGGGTAGCACCATAAACAGAAGTTGTACAGTCGGAGAGAAGGGCCAAGTTCGAGGGATGTTTGTTGTCTTTGATTCTACCAGAGTTAAACATAATGTTTTGATGGAGTGAAGTCAGATCTAAAACATAGATATTCAACTTCAAATGTTAAAAAAAAAAAGCAGTGACTCTTATTTCTATACTTCATCTCAATCAAAGCATGACTTTCTATGCACATGGAAAATTCCATGAGCTCACCCTCCTGCAGAGCTCCTTCCTGACAGAAACCAGGAGGGTTAGGCTTTCTAAAGAGCACCAGATCCCAGATCCCTGCTGATAAACTCACTAAGTCAGAAAGATACAAAATCAACCCTCTCACTATAGAGAGAAATTCTCAACTCTGTCCAGATACGTATTGGTTTTTGCAGAGCTGCGGAAATAACGAAAATATAGGGGTTTGGACTCAACCAGGCCTGGACTGAGTCCTGGCTCCAGCTCTTTCTTGCCATGCAACCTTGGTTAAATTAACTTTTAAAGCTTGAGTTTTCTTACCTGCAAAGGGGAGAAAATATAGTACTACTTTCTAGGGCTGTTAAGAGAATTAAGTAAAAAATCCATGTAAAGCACTTAGCATGGCACGTTATGCATTGTTCTAAGTGTTCTAAGAACACTACTTAGAAAATGTTAGCATTGTTATTGCTATAGTATCAAGGGTAGCGTGGATACCAGACGTTTTGTGTTCAGTTGTGAGAAAAGACTATTTAAGGTAATACGCTCCTGAATGTGCTAAAATCAAATACCGCAGCTGGACCAGATTAACTCAGGACACCACCAGTGGACTAGAATTGGTAGGAAACTGAGAAAGTTATAGTCATCCGAAGGAGTTAATGCAATTATCCATTTTCTTTAAGCCCTTTCAGGTTGTTGGGAGAAACCACATACTGTGAGCCCACTTGCAGCATAGCAGTCATGAAACGAATTCAGGCACAGAAAAAAATGTGATGCATGGACTTCTAGAAACATGGCCATCAGGGTTGAGCGTCATAACTGGCCTTGGCTGAACACAAAACCAAGAAGGCAAAACTCGCAATCCCTGAGTAGAGAGAAGGCTCCATAAATGTTGAATGAACACATGGACAAATTACACTTGTGACCTAATGGTCCACTGCCACGGTATTTACAATTAAGGCCAAATACTAGAATCAGGCCTTTGCAAAATGTGCCCTGACTTTTTGAGTCTTAGAACTGTTCTGTTTCCATGGCTCAGAAAAAGCCAAGGGCAGTTTGTTCTTTTTATCAGTTTCTCCTTGGAGAAGAAAGCTGAAAATTTCCATGATTACCATGCACACTGGAGTTATGCTGATCGAAATCTATCTAAAAGGTGCCAGGCACACAGCCAGGCGGGCAAATGCTCTCAAAGGCAATTTCACATCACCAGCCTTGCTGAGCAAGAACAGAAGCTGTTCTTCACTCCAGCCTCTCAGGAGCACACAGTGGCCTCTCAGTTCCCCTTTCAAGGAAGAGCTCTGGGAGAAAAGCCCATGGTTCGGGAACTTTTCCTGAGACCTCTAAGCACCTGTGCCATCATGGTGCAAGCTAGAACTGTTATTTCTAGCTGTGCAGCCACAGTCATCCATGTGGTTCCATTTCCTTGGTGGCAATGCACAGTTGCAAAATATTTTGTAATTATTCATTACTGAAATCACAAAAATGCCCCTAAAAAGTATAGTATTAGCCTCTTATACACAGTAAAATGTAACCGCGGGAAACTTCAGGGAATTGTGTAAAGATCACTGGGTGAGGTAACGCCCACAAGCTTGAGGCTAGTGTTTTCTCCTGTTTCCATAGCAATGACCCCACACGATCTTACCTGCTCCTCAGACCACAGCCAAGGAAGAGATTTCTGACAAACAAGCAAAAACACAACACTGTCCACACAACTGTAAATATGCAAGGAAGAGTTTCTTCTTGCCTGAAAACTGTAAGGTTTATTATTTGTTTGTGTTTCTTCCTTTCATCTCATATTTCTTCTAACGTCATAAGCCTGGCATTTAAACCCCAAATGCCTGCAGGGGCCAGGCAGGATAGGGAGGTACCAGCTAAAAAGGCAACTCCAGTTGATTTTTTTTTTTTTTCCACTGCTTAGGAATGCAGGCCTGGTTTGGCTAGTTCTTACAATTTCTCAAGAGAAATTGGAACCTAGATTTTTACATGAAATTTTCCAGTTTTTAAACATTGGCAACCAATTTTCAAAAAATTTGCAAGCCACAAAAACACATCTACAGCTGAGTTTGCTCTGGTTGTAACATCAGTCATAAGCAGTTGAAATAACCTTTCGGGTCTTCAGAATTACTTCCTATTTTCTGAATATCTGTGTGGAATATAGACCGCATATTAACCCTAATTATTAATTACAGCTATGCATTAATTCATTAATGAAAGCCATAATTCATTGGAGAAAGGTCTTTAGTAACATATTGCTGTTGCGTTTTATTATCTCTTGCTCTCATCATCTCTCTGTGGTGAAGGATAAGAAATCAGAGGTGATCTTAGCTAGTTTCGTTTAAGACTCTTAGCTGTTGTTTAAGGCTCAAAACAAAATATCTGATTATGTATTCCATTTTGCACAGAAACAAACAGCATTTAATCCAAATATTTTGGCCCACATAGGGTAATTCAAAAATAAATGATTTTATGATTTAAGTCCATTCTTACGCTCAAATAAGCATGTTCAAGTTGAGTTGAAATACACCAGTAACTAAGTAGATATGCTTTGCGATAGTCAACTTCAAGGTGAAAAAATCCCGTTCCCTTTTACTAATCATTAAAATCATTAAATGCCCCTCAGTGGATGCATAGAACACTGTGTTCAGAAAAGGTCAGAGAACTGTGTTCAGAAAAGGAATTTTAAGAAGCTTGAGAATGCTACCATTTTAACCAGTCTGTGGGGTAGTGTCTCAGTTCATTCTGCATTGCTATAAAGAAATACCTGAGGCTGGGTAATTCATAAAGGAAAGAGGTTGATTTGACTCATGGTTCTGCAGGCTGTACAAGCATGGCACCAGCATCTGAGGCAAAAGGGGAGCTGGCATGTGCAGAGATTACATGGCAAGAGAGGATGCAAGAGAGAGAGAACGAGGTGCCAGATTCTTTAACCGTCAGATCTCATGGGAAATAAGGGTGAGAGCTCCGTCAATCCATCAAGATTGACACTAAGCCATTCATGAAGAAGGATCTGCACTTATGACCAAAACACCTCCCTTTAGTCCCCACCTCCAACACTGGGGATCAAATTTCAACATGAGATTTGGAGGGGACAAATATCCAAACCATAGCAGTAGTAAGTAGTCAAAGAAGATAGTTTGCATTTAGTGTTTTAATTATTTTTGATAGGGTTTTCTTTTCTTTTTTTTCTATCTCAGCCTCACAAATATTTTGTTTTGTTTTGTTTTGTGACGGAGTCTTGCTCTGTCGCCTAGGCTGGAGCGCAGTGGCGCAATCTTGGCCCACTGCAACCTCCGCCTCCCAGGTTCAAGCGATTCTCCTGCCTCAGCCTCCCGAGTAGCTGGCACAAACGTTTTAAAATATGTTATGGTTGTGTTCAACACAGTGACTGTGCCAAGGGACCCTCTCTTAGTTCAGGTTCCCTTAGAAGTAGACCCTGAGGCAGGGATTCAGGGAGAAGCAGTTCATATGTGAAGGGAACAGGAGGAGAGGTGGGAAGCCGGGACAGGGGAGGGAAAGCAGCCACCACAGGATTTATGCAGCTGGCTACTCCTGTAGGGACTGAGGCTTAACCCTCCTGGGGATCCCTGGGAGCCAGCTCCACAGCTACCTACCCTAGGGAAAGTGAGCTGCAGTATTTATTCACAAAGTCTGATCAGGGATTGGGTGACAATTACTCCTCAGGGGCTTGAGGCAGGTTCTGGGGTGAGAGGAAGCCTTTACAGAGAGGCATGCAGGTGCCAGAAGTGGGGTCACAGGCACTGAAGTGAAGGGCAAGGGGAGAGGGGCTGGGTGCTGAGTGTCGGCCATGCACTCCAACTTCATCAGCTCCTCCTCCCCATCGCTGATATAAACAATTGATATTTTCTCATCTTCCATAAAGCGCTGTGCAGGAACGACTTTAGGACAAGTCCTTTAATGTCTTTTCAACCTGTTCTGGCCCCTGTGCTCCTCCTAGATACAAATTCTGGAGCAGCAACTGATTTACCAGGAAACACTGAGGAGTAGAGCAAGGTAAGGTGGCTCCTACACCACTCCGAACCAGTGTGGGGCATGGGGGCGATAAAGAGGCTGACTTCACAGGGAACTTCCAGGGCCAAAATTTCACTTCATTTGAAGGTTTTCAGGAAAACATGGGTAAATTGCAAAAGCAACGCCAACAATTACCATCTTTGAGATTTGAAAACTTTGGATTTTCTCTCTTGGGAGGCTTTGTGACCACCAGTTGAAATTTCTAGATGACAATTTCCACCTTCCATGTCATCAGAATGGAAGGAGAGGTGCACTCCAAGGAGACAAGTGACTGGACATTCGGGTTCCTGGCATGCAATACAAGTTCTTCTTTTTATACCAATGTGGGGGAAGGAAGTGAGAAGTAAGAAGTGGGTAGAGAGATTCCTCCAGGATGCAAACAGTTAAAGATCATCACTTTACTTCTGATTTTGGATGTTAATGTCACCTTCAGAATTCCTCCTTCTCTAAGAAATTTTTACAAAGGGCCAACATTAAATTTTAAACAAACAAATAAGAAAATAGTAAAAGAAAGTGAAAGAGTGTAGAAACGCAGCTTGCAGCACACACAAAAAATTAGGCAATTCTGCTTCAATTTGTGCACACTGAAAATTTCATTCCTGGTAACCGGTAACTGGTTCACCTTACAACCTGGGCAAACTTCTGGAAAGTTCCATGCCTCCATTCCCACTGTGTTAAGAGGACATAGGATTGGATGGAGAAGAATAGGTCATACTAACTAGACTACTGAGGTGTCCCATGGGCATGTGAGCACAATGTCAAGGCTAAACAGCTTGCTGCACAGGTGCAGCTCAGCTCCTCTTTAAGGCACATGTGCCCAGTCCATCAACACCACATCAGGCTCACCTTGAATACAGAGGACTAAATCAAACCCTCATTTTAGGTATTTTTGTATTTTCCCATTTATGAACAATAAATGATCTGTTAAATTTCCTAAACAGAAAAATCTGGAAGCAATTTGCTCTCTGCCCATGTAGAGAGGGGAAAGCACAGACTGCTCTCCAATGACTCTGAGGAGGATGAATGACAGGGTTTCCAAACCCTGAGTGGTAACACCACTTAACAGATTCGGCCTAGGAGGGTGCTTTGTACTTGGAAATCCTATCTCATTAGCCTGACACCTTCTCAAGGCAAAATGGCAGAGGACTGGACACAGATTGGCACATCTTGAAATAGGCAGGCCAGGAAGTCTCGTTCACTTCAGACTAGGAGCATACCATTGCTGGCCTTACCCTCCCAAAGACAGACACCTCCAGCCCCAAATCTTCACCCCCACCCCTGGTCACCAGAGAAACATCTCCTTGGATTCCAGGGCAATTTCCACAGACTTAGCATGTGGAAATAAATCTAGAACCTAGATGGAAAACCAACCAACTTTCTCCTACTTACACTTAATAATGCAAGATTTATAAATGAGTTCTAGAAACATTTTCTCTTTGTTAATATATATTACAGCCCGTGGCCTCTTGTTCACTGGTGTTTTAAGTTCTTGGAACAGGGATTGTATGACTTTCATGTCTATGTTCTTCTAATAAACCTCCAGCAACAAGCATGTTGCCACCTTCACTTTTTTTTTTCCTTTTTTTTGAGGCTGGTCTCACTCTGTCGCCCAGTCTGGAGTGCAGTGGCGCGATCCCAGCTCACTGCAGCCTTGGCAGCCCAGACTCAAGAGATCCTCCCACCTCAGCCTCCCAAGTAGCTGGGACTGCAGTCACACACCACCACACCCGGCTAATGTTTTCTCTTTTTTTGTAGGTTGGGGTTTTGTCATGTTGCTCAAGCTGGTCTCCAACTCCTGGGCTCAAGCAATCCACCCACTTCGGCCCCCCAAAGTGCTGGGATTACAGGCGTAATTAGCACCTGGCTAACCTTCATTTCTTGGGAAGAATTTATACGACAGTGAAAATCCAATTACTATTATTTGAAATAGAGACAAAATGTTGAGATTCTTTAGACTAAAATACAAGCTATGATAGTTGAGTCCCATAAAAGAGTTTAGAGGTCAGGTCTTCACTGAAAGTCATCATCTACAACCCCCAGGAGCATTTCCCCTAAGAAAAGACTTCCTGTGACCCCACAGACTGTCCTACGGTTAAGGGAACAGAAAGAAAGTAAACTCAGGACAAAGGAAGTCTATTTAGCATCTTGAAGGCAAGACCCATGTCTGACCCATGTCTGACTCATCTTTGACTCTCCGTGGATTAGCATGGTTTGCTTTATATGTGTTAAGTACCCAAATAAACAACAGTTTTTACATCAAAAGTCACGTTGTAAACCAGACTCAATCATTCATTCATGCATGCATACTTTAGTCAAACAACCATTACTTTTCAGTTCCTACATAGTCCAAGAATTGTGCGAGGAGCTGGGGGCAGAAAACAAAGAGAAAAAGACGCAATTCCAGTTTCTGACTCATCTGCTTCACTTGATTTAGCCAAAAGGCCAAGAAGTGATTGATTCATCTACTTGCTTCAGCAAGTTTAAAAAGAGCAAGGGTTCATTCCCCATTTAATAAATATTCACTGAGTGCCTCCTATATGTCAGGCTCCATCCTAGGCATTCATTATGTTTGCAGCAGGACAAAAAATGGTCAAACATCCCTGCCTTCATGATGCTTACCTTCTAGAAGGGGACGACAGACAAAAAGCAAGTGAATTATATAATGTGTGGATAGTGACAAGTGGTTTCAAAAACCAAAACAAACAAGGAAGTAAGAGTTGAAGGAAAGGTTGCAGTTTTGCAGAAAGTGGTCAAGGAAGCTCTCACTGAAAACAAAGACCCAACAGAAGGAGCTGTGCAGACCAAAAAGTCCCATAAAGAGTCTGGGGACCAGGTCTTCACTAAAAGTCCTCTACTATCCCCAGTAGCATTTTCCGTAATTAAAGGCCTCCCATGAACCCTCAAACTGTCTGCCCTGGCTGGGCACGGTGGCTCACACCTGTAATCCTAGCACTTTGGGAGGCTGAGGTGGGTGGATCACCTAAGGTCAGGAGTTTGAGACCAGCCTCACCAACATGGCAAAACCCCGTCTCTACTGAAAATACAAAAATTAGCTGGGCATGGTGGCGCGCACCTGTAGTCTCAGCTCCTCCGGAGGCTGAGGCAGGAGAATTGCTGGTGGGGAGGGGGCAGAGGTTGCAGTGAGCTGAGATTGCCCCACTTCACTCCAGCCTAGGTGAAAGAGCAAAACTCCGTCTCAAAACAAAACAAAACAAAACAAAACAAGCAAACAAAAAACTGTCTGCCCTAAGGTTAAGGGAATGGAAAGAAAGCAAACTCAGGATAAGTTTCCCTTCTTTTTTTCTCACCTTCCTACCTCAACTGTTTTCTGTTCATCTGTGGCCAAAGACTCAGAAAAATCTGTATGGAAGATAAACAACTCTTGCACAAAATCAGAGGGGTGTGTGACTGAGATATAGTGGGTTCTGGTGGAAACTGCACTGTTGACTGTTCTCCCACGACATGAAAGTAAAAGCAGACACTTTGTCTGAATTGTCAGAAAATGGGTCTCGTTTTGTCACCTCCTAAGATGCCCAGCAAGGAGATCTGAACTCCAAGTGTCATGGACCTTCCCGCAGAGGGGCTGGCCTTATGTGCGCAGCAACAAGGAACTGCTCAGTGGAACCCCAGTCTCACTTCCCCACAGAAGTTACAAAAATACTTATTTTTTTTTCTCATTTCATCCATTTTTAGGTAAAGAATTTTAACTGTTTGGGGTTCGTTACTTCACACTTAAGAAATCTACAAACCACAGGAAATGAAACTTGACTAAATGCAGATGACACAGACAGCCAACTCCGAAAATGTGCTGGGCTCCACTCAGTTCTAGGTGACCTTTAGCAAAAAGAGGGTGTTCTGATGAAACCCTTTGACCATAACCAACAGCCTCCAACTTACAGGATTCTCCCCTCGTATGACCAAGTGGTGTAATCTTTGAGGTCCTGGCAGCACAGGTTGAGTGCAACCTAAAAGAGAATGAGGATTCCACAAGGTCTTCTGGAATGGTACACTTATTGGAAACTTGTTTCAGCATTCAAAAAAACCTGGCCTGTTTCTAAAGCAATGCATGGTTTAAGAGGAATGGCAAATTGAAGCCAACGTTTTTCAAACACATTTCACTTAAAAAAAAATGGCCACTAGAAAGAATGCAACTTATTTTCAAAAAGAATTATCTCAAGAAAGCATGGTTGGCCCATTCATCCATCTCCCTGCCCACAAGGGAATGAATGAATGAAGACAAGATGTGCCACCTCTGAAAGACTGTTAATCTCCCTCTCTCTATAAAAGTGGTACTATGTAATTTCTACTCATTTGGTTACAAATAAAATTAGTAAGTGAAGGATCCGTAGTTTCTGTATGTCACCTACAAACCTGAGTCTTTGTGCTAAAATTGTTCAAATATTCAATTGAATCTTATTCAATACCAATGCTTTTGTATATTGCATGTGGTATATGTGCATGGTGCTTGGCTTATTCTGAGAGCCATTTGGTGGAATAAGAAGAGAGTAAATGAAGCCTCATTCTAGAACTTTCTTTCTAAAGTAAAAAGGCAGAGCAACCCATAGAAGGCTCTAGAAAAGGAACACATACCATGGAAAGGAAAAAGGAAAGAGATGCTACCCAGGTCATGAGGTTTGGATTTGTGTCCTTCCCCAAACCTCATGTCAAATTGTAACCCCCAATGTTGGAGGAGGGGCCTGGCAGGAGGTGACTGGATCATGTGAGTGGATTTTCCCCTGTTCTTGTGATAGTGAGCTCTCACTAGATCTGGTTGTTTAAAAGTATGTAGCACCTTCCACTTCGCCCTCTTCCTCCTTCTCCAGCCATGTAGGACCTGCCTACTTCCCCTTCACCTTCTGCCACAACTGTAAGTTTCCCAAGGCCTCCCCAGCCACGCTTCCTGTACAGCCTGCAGAACTGTGTTCCAATTAAACCTCTTTTCTTTATAAATTATCCCGTCTCAGGTAGTTCTTTACAGCAATGCAAGAACGGACTAATTTACCAGAAAAGTGTGATGGTTGATTCTCTGTGTCAAATTGACTGCGCTAAGGGGTGCCCAGATTAAACATTATTTCTGGATGTGTCCAAGACAGTGTGTCCAGATGAGTTGAACATCTAAATCAGTAAACTCAGTGAAGCTGATCACCCTCCCCAGTGTAGGTGGCCATTACCCAATCTGTGGAGGGTCTGAATAGAACAAAAGGGGAAAGGGGGAGGAATTCTCTCCTTCTTCTTTCTGTGTGACTGATTGAGCTGGGACATCAGTCTTCCCTGCCCTTGTTCCAGAACTGACACCATTGGCTCTCCTGGTTCTCAGGCCTTTGGACTTGGACTAGAATTTCACCACTGGGGCTCTTGGATCTCGAGTCTGTAGAGGGCAGATCGTGGGATTTTTCAGCCTCCAAAATCATGTGAGCCAATTCCTCATAATAAATCTCCTTCTATATCTATGTCCCAGTGGTTCTGTTTCTCTGGAGAACTCTGACTAGTTCAGGAAGAGAATGATTTTGGTTTGGCAGCTGCTGAGAAATGAGGCATAAGCCCAGGTGAGAACAGGTAAACCAGTGACTATCCCTGTCCTCAGCAACTTCGAATAACTGGCTCACCCTCAGAGAGTCACATAGTGAGGCTTCAATTTGTGCCTTCTCGCTGACATGCAGTTCTCTCTGTCTGTGGCATTGTGGCCTTTCCCTTGTCACTATTAGTAAAGGATCTTTGTTTTAGTCTCTATTATCAGAACAGCATCCTGACCACATCATAGGAACTCTTAAGTATGGAAAATTTTCCTCTGCAGAGTCTCCACCCAATGTATCACCATTACCTCATTCTTCCTTCTCCCTATGTGGAGTTATAAACATAGCCCAGGTTCAGTTTTTTACATGTTCTTTATTTTTGCATTGAATATTATATAGAAGGGATTGCAACGCATCTTTAAAATGGCACCTTGCAATAAAGAACCTCACCTCACTTTTAAATAGACATAATCCCTGCTTTTGGGGAGCACACAGTCGAACGGAGTCTTCATTGACTGCTCCCATCATTCAGGGCCTTCTATGCTCAGGTGGAGAAAGTGACCAACCACGCTGTGTAACTGCTGCTGGAGGCAATTCTCCCTTCATCTGACCTCTGACCTGTCTTTTTTTTTTTTTTTGGAGACAGGGTCTCGCTCTCTCACCCAGGCTGGAGTGCAGTGGCACAATCATGGCTCATTGCAGCTTCGACCACCTGGGCTCAAGTGATCCTCCCATATCAGCCTCCCCAGTAGCTGGGACCACAGGCATGCACCACCATGCCCAGCTAATTTTTTAATTTTTTTGTAGAGACTGGGTCTCACCATGATGCCCAGGTTGATCTCTGTCCTTCTTTACCTGTTTGTTGATGTTTAAAATCCCTTTCATAACCAACACATCTTCTCATTTCATAAGTAGATCTGAGGCTTAACATACCAATAGGCTGAGAGAGGTGACACAGTGCACCAATGTGTATGTGCCTGAGTGCATGCCCTTCTGATGATAGAGAAACTGGGAAGCGAAGGTGTAGAGGAGGGAACCCCACTGTGATGGTTAATATTGAGTGTCAACTTGATTGGATTGAAGGATGCAAAGTATTGTTTCTGGGTGTGTTGGTGAGGGGGTTGCCAACGGAGATTAACGTTTGAGTCAGTGGATTAGGAGAGGCAGACCCACCCTCAATCTGGGTGGGTACCATCTAGTCAGCTGCCAGCATGGCTAGAATAAAAGCAGGAAGAAGAAAGAGGAAAGAGTAGACTTGCTGAGTCTTCCGGTCTTCATCTTTCCCCCATGCTGGATGCTTCCTGCCCTTGAACATTAGACTCAAAGTTCTTCAGCTTTTGGACTCTTGGCCTTACACCAGTGGTTTGCCAGGGGCTCCCAGGCCTTCGGCCACAGACTGAAGGCTGCACTGTCGGCTTCCCTACTTTTGAGATTTTGGGTTTGGACTGGCTTCCTTGTTCCTCAGCTTGCAGAAGGTCTATTGTGGGACCTCACCTTGTGATCATGTGAGTCTATACTCCTCAATAAATTCCCCTTCATATATGCATCTATTCTATTAGTTCTGTCCCTCTAGAGAACTCGACTAATACACTCACTGAGGAGGCTTGGAACATAGAAAGTGCAGGTGTGAAAAGAAGGTAAACTTCGTCTCCCCCATCCAAGTACTAACCAGGCCCAACCCTGCTTAGCTTCCGAGATCTGATGAGATTGGGTGCGTTCAGGGTGGTATGGTCGTAGACGGTAAACTTCATCTCCCTGCAGAATCTGCCCAGCACTTCTCTTGCTGAAATGGGGTACCCATTGACAGCAAACCACAATGCATCACATTAAAAGGAAGTTCTTATAAATGGGCTAATGTATCCATGAAGCTAGTATATCCACAAAGTGACAAGGAAATGCTACCTGATTCCGGGAAAGGCACTAAGGTTCCATCTTTCAATCACCTACTAAGAAAGGCCTCCAATGTATACAGACACAATTATCTGAGGGCAGAAGACAGTAACAATGGTGGTAAGGACAGAGCACACTCCTAACTCGTCTGTCATTATCACGTGGGTGGCTCCTACGAATATGAATACAAATTATAGAACTCAGGATGAAGTGTCAGATGCCCAAGAATTAGATCATCAGCCAAAAAAAAAAAAAAAAAAAAAAAAAATGGGCTGAACTCCAAGCAAGTATCACTTGGAATCCAATTTACAGTATTTGGGTTTTGCTTTATAAACACCCTGGCTGACGTGTCTCCCTTCACAAATGAATTTCATCTCTGTCCTTCAAGGCCCAGCTCTTATGGTGCATTCTCTTGAAAAACTTCCTGGATTCCTCCAGCTGGGTTTCTTTCACCTCCTTAGTGCTCCCTGGCCCCCTACTTATGTCTCTGTTTCAGCACATGCTGTATTCTACCTTTTCTCCTAGCTCTCTGTGTTCATGTTTTAAAGGCTCTATTTGACTGAAGCTCTGTGAAGGCAAGACTTCCATAGTATCCTGCTTTCTCTAAAACTTACATTTTACTATTTAAAGGCTACCATTTCTCTATAACTCACATTTTATTTGTCTAATGGCTGTATTTCTCACTTTCCATACATTCCATGAGGGATGGAGTCAAGTCTGTCGTATTTACCACTCTAAATACAGTCATGTGCCATGTAACAATGTTTTGGTTAACAGCAAACCACATATACAACAGTGGACCCATAAGAGTATACTACTGTATTTTTTACTGTACCTCTTTTATGGTGAGATATGTTTAGATACACAAATACTTACCACTGTGTTATAATTGCCTACAATATCCAGTGTAATAACATGCCATACAGGTTTGTAGCCTAGAAGCAATAGGCTACATCATATAGCCTCAGTGTGTAGTAGGTTATACCATCTAGGTTTGTGTAAGTGCCCTCTATGATGTTCACACAATGACAAAATTGCCTAGTGACACATTTCTCAGAATGTATCCTCCTCCTCATTCTCAGATTCTTCACTATATAGCATAATTCCTATTACAATATCTAGCACATAGTAGACATTCAGTAAAAGTTTTTTGAATGAATATAGTATATGTTCATACTTTTCAAATAATTTAGCAGACACAACTTACACCTAACAGGATTTTAAAGAATGGTTAATCAATATGGGAGATCTGGATAGAATGAACTACAACTAGAAACACAAGTACACCCAAAGCAAGATGCAATGCAAAGACACACATTTAGGAATAAATCCTGAATAAAGAAGAGGAGCTCTATAGCAAGCCCCAAAGTCTGCGGACCCAAGCATTTTTAAGAAATAATGAGAAACTGCATTTTCTGCTTGAAATTTCCAGTTAGACAACAGCATTTTTAGGTGTTTTTGAAGAAGGGAAAGTAATAAGCCTTTTATTGTGTCAATAATGTAAAACCATACCTGCTGATCACAGATAAATTGGGATTCTAAATGTCTACCTACACTTCATTTGCTCTTTTCTGCAGATTTATTTTGAGGGAGGTGTCCAACTCCAAATGCATTTATTGAGGGAAATCTTTACCACTTTGCTGAATCTCTAGTAACACATACTGAGGGCCTAAGGAGCTGGGAACCCTAGCAGAATTTTTCAGAATGGGATGTCTAATTTCTCACCCTGAGGTGTCATAAAAGAACTCAGTAAAGTCATCTCATTTCTTAGCAAGTCTTTAGTGAGTAATGATGTCCTCCCAACGTGTGTGAACAAATGTTCTCAGAACATAGTGGGCACTATGCCAAGAGAGCAAATAAAAGCATTTATAACAGCAGCTGGGAAATTCAAAGCCTTTGAGTTGGCTGAATTTGCATTGATGCAGCAATGACCATCCTCCCAGCCTTCTTCTCTGGCTGAGAAATGAAAGATCAAGGGTAAATGTGCAAAAGTGGTACTCAGAGTCATTTTCAAAGGTATGATATGTAAGCTCCACCACTGCCCCTACTATGCCCCTATTATGAAAGTAGGCTTTCAAACTCCAATCTTCATTACAAGTATCATCAACCCCAAGGGGCCTTGTTTGATCCTGCTTCCCAGTGCAAATTGAATTGCTCCTTCCTCAGTGTTCCCAGCAGAACTTTGATTATATAGATATCTTCACATGATTTCTCATATTGCGAACATAATTTGTTGTCTTGAGGGCAAGTGCCATGTCATATTTTTTTTCATATCGCAGAAATCTAAAATAGCATAGTGTTGGCCTATGTCAAACCTACCCCACCTGTACCCCCACTACAGACAGTAAGAGAGTGTCTT
Source organism: Homo sapiens (assembly GCF_000001405.40). Taxonomy (NCBI): domain Eukaryota; kingdom Metazoa; phylum Chordata; class Mammalia; order Primates; family Hominidae; genus Homo; species Homo sapiens. The sequence goes on from NC_000010.11 coordinate 14,666,005, forward strand.
GCCCATAATGGACATGAGGGAGTCACTTAACAAAAATTTACTGAATTACTACTATGTATCAGGCACTGTCCAAGGTGCTAGGGATGCCATTAAACAAGACTGGTAATGTCCCTGCTCTCTAAGAGACAATATTGTAATAAACCACAGATTAACAGAAAGATTATTTTGGATTGTGTATTAGGCCATTCTCATGCTGCTATACAGAACTGCAAGAGACTGGGTAATTTAAAAAGGAAAGAGGTTTAATTGACTCACAGTTCTGCAGGGCTAGGGAGGACTCGGGAAACTTACAATCATGGCGGAAGCAGAAGGAAGCATGTCCTTCTTCACATGACAGTAGCAAGGAGAAGTGCAGAGTGAAGTGGGAACAGCCCCTTATAAAACCATCAGATCTCATGAGAACTCACTCACTATCATGAGAACAGCATGAGGGTAACTGCCCCCATGATTAAATTACCTCCTACTGCGTCCCTCCCACAACACATGGGGATTATGGGAACTGCAATCCAAGGTGAGATTTGGGTGGGGACACAGAGCCAAACCATAACAGATTGGAATGAGAATCATGAAAAAAAAATGTGTAATGGGATGAAGAGTGATTTGGAAGAATGCCAAGATGGTTGGGAACGTTTTCTCTGGGACAGGACATTTGAACTGAGCCATCTGTACAAGGATCTGCAAGGGGACAGTGTCTCAGGAAGAGGCACTAAATTAAAGCAATGTTGGTAATTGATGGGGGTACAGGGAACTTGGGAGGAGATGGGAGGAGATAGTATAGAGGGAAAGGGTGGAGCTGATTAATTGCTCATTGTGTCTCCTTCATCTATACCAGAGTAGGGTGCTACTTTTCCTCCCACTTTGCATACTCTTTTCATTACCACTTCCAATTTCTTAATTCTTCTCCCTAATTTCCATTAAAGTACAAGAACATGAGCCTTTGCCAGCAGCAAACACGTCTGGAGCCATCTTCTAACACCGAATCACATAAAACACCAAACTAAAACTAAAAGCCATTGGTAAATAGAGGCTGAGAGTATTAAGATTTAGCTTTCATTATTATTAGGCCCATTCAACTAATGTTTATTTTATGACGATTACATCTCATTATCATTACAGATCACAGTCATAAACTAAGTTATAAATTCACTCGTCATTTATTTCTTTCCTCATTAACTCATAGGGCGTCCTATTGTGGCATAAATCACTTTAGCGAAGCTGCATACTTGACCATACACAAACATAAAAAAAACCCCAGCAAACTTATCTAAATAATGTTTTCCAAGATAATCATAAATATTTCAGTAAATAATGATACTTCTTAGTTTAGCGTTACTGAATTTGAAATTTTTTCATCATTATCATCATCTACTTCTTTGCAAGTGTTTGTTCATCAAGAACTGTAATCAATAAAAGAAAGAAGACAAAGAACAGAACGAGCTATTTTCTGCATCACAACCAGATTGTCCAGATGTCGTGCCTGGAATATATCACACGTGACATTTCTAGTCATGTTTCCAATCATTTGGAACATACAGGTTTTCCTTTGCAATCTGAAAAGCCTTAGGATGCTCCAAGCACTTCTGTCAGCAACAGCAGCCTGGAAAAGGAATCACACAGAATGTACTCTACCTGATGTCATTTTCTGCTCCAGCTCGAGGCATTTAGGTTCTTCTCGAAATTCTTCTTCCTAAGCGCCAGCCCCATAAACCAGAAAAGCAGGGAGAAAGTAAAAATATGCATTAATGTAAGGCAATACTTTTTGCAAGCCTACTAATTAATATGAGATCAAGACTTGAAAAACTTAAACCACACCTTAAAGAACTGAGGTTTTGGACAAGCTACTACAAATCAACAATAAATGCCAAGTAGAGTAGAGTAACTACAGGGGCGTTGGGTGACACAACTCCAGGGTGCTATTCACATGGTAGTGTCTATGCATGTTGTCCCTGGAGTGGTGCAACCCAGGGGCCCCCTGTGACTAATATATTTGAAGGCACCCGTGACTTAGAAATGATGGTGACGGGGTTTTTTTTGTTTTTTGTTTTTTGGGTTTTTTTTGGTGGAGTCTCACTCTGTCACCAAGCTGGAGTGCAGTGGCACAATCTCGGCTTACTGCAACCTCCAACTCCCTGGTTCAAGTGATTCTTCTGCCTCAGCCTCCTAAGTAGCTAGGATTACAGGCATGCACCACCAGGCCTGGCTGATTTTTTTTGTATTTTTAGTAGAGACGGGGTTTCACCATGTTGGCCAGCATGGTCTCGATCTCCTGACCTCATGATCTGCCTGCCTTGGCCTCCCAAAGTGCTGGGGTTCCAGGAGTGAGCCACCACACCAGGCCAGGTTTTTCATAAAATAGAAATGCCACCAGCATGGTTGAACAAGGAGAATTATGTTTTGTTTTTCATCACTCAAGGAACTGATTTCATGTACTTTCGAAAGTTCCATCATTATTCACAGTTATATTTTTATCTCTAAGAAGGTAGGTGTACACATTCTTGTCTGAGTCCTGGTATGATATTCTTTAATGACAATGGTTGTCACTGCCGTGACACTGATAAAAGTAGACCCCATTAGAAATGAGGGAGATAAATTAAGAGGAATATCTAAATGATCCTTTTCTAATTTTGCCTGCAAGATGACTTTACGCCAATTAATTTATTTGTTTTTCCCTTCATTAAACAAATATTTGATGAGTGTCTGCTACGGGCTATTTCTGTGGGATCTTAACCTTTAGGCAGGATACCTTCTAACATCCCTTGAATTATACTGCAGGAAGTTACCTACTCAGCTTCCTTCCTAGCCTGGCAGGAAGGCTACTGTGCTTACTTTGTTCTTTCTAAGAATTTAGCCCAATAGAAGATATGCTAGACCATAATAAAGTATATGGGTGTAGGGTTCCATAAATAAAAACTGGGGCTATTCTATAACCAGAGTGAAAAAATTGAATTCAAAAACTGGTATTATTCATTATAGGAATACTGTCTCAAATTTGCCCTGAGTTTGCCAGTTCTTGGTAATATCTCACCTGGATTAGAACCCACCAGACTCTAGAGCTCAGGTAGTAAGATAAAGAAAGGTCCAGGCCAGTTGTGGTGGCTGACACCTGTAATCCTAGCACTTTGGGAGGCCGAGGCGGGTGGATTGCCTGAGCCCAGGAGTTCAACACCAGCCTGGGCCATATGGTGAAACCCCATCTCTACAAAAAATACAAAAAAATTAGCTGGGTGTGGTTTTGCCTGCCTGTAAATCCAGCTACTCGGGAGGCTGCGGCAGGAGAATCACTTGAGCCTGGGAGGTGGAGGTTGCCGTGAGCTGAGATTGCACCACTGTACTCCAGCCTGGGCCACAGAGCGAGACTCTGTCAAAAAAAAAAAAAAAAAGGAAGAAAGAAATGTCCTTTTCGAAGGAAATCAGTATATCAAAGGGATATCTGCACGCCCATATTTATTTGAGCACTATTCACAAAGATATGGAATCAACTATCAACTTGAACATCCATCGCCAGATAAACGGATAAATAAAGAAAATGTGGTAAATATACACAATGGAATACTATTTGGCCATAAAAAAAAGAATGAAACTCTGTCATTTGCAGCAACATGGATGAAACTGGAAGTTATTAAATGAAATAAGCTAGGCATGGAAAGATAAATATCTGTTTGCCTTTCTCATATGTTCTTATTCTTGTTGCATGTTCTTACTCATATGTGGGAACTAAAAACATTGGTCTCATGGAAACAGAAAGTAGAATGATAGTTACCAGAGTCAGGAAAGGGTGCGGTGTGGGGAATGAAGAGAGGTTGGTTAATGGTTACAAACATACAGCTAGATAGAAGCAATACATTCTAATGTTCATAGCAGAGCAAGGTGACTACAGTTAACAACAATGTATTGCATATTTCAAAGTAGCTAGAAGAGAGAACTTGAAATGTTCCCAATACATAGAAATCATAAATACTTGCATAATGGATATCCTAAATGCCTTGACTTGATCATCACACATTCTATGCATGTAAAAAAAATCACAAGTACCCCATGAATATGTAAATATTATGTATCAATAAACATGTTTTTAAAAAGAAATGTCTTTCTTAATTCATAAAAACTGGTTTCATTAAATTGCCATAATTATCAACTTAGAAGTGAATTGATTTCACCTGTGTTGGGAACAAATGTTTTTCCAGAGATCAAAAATCATCTCCAAATATTCATCATCAGAGACCATTTCTAAAAATGTGTCCTACTTTTAAAACCCATAGAATAGTATTGGCATAAGCAATTTGGGTAAATAAGGCCTCAGTTCAATTATCTCAAATGTATGTGTTGTAAGAAATTTTAATGAAAATTGCCTCCAAAATTACATATTTGAAGTGGGTATGAATTAATAGTATACCAAAGAATGTGTAAATAACAGAAAAGCCCCATCACACAGCAAATAAATGCAGTAAGTCATTTCTTGTTTCACAAGGCCTGACAGAACAGTATATAATGAAAACATGAGGAATTATTTTATAATACAGCCACAGGGGAAGTCTCTTGAGAGGCCAAAATAATCCAAATAAAGTCATTTTCAAGATGAAAAGACTCTCCCCTTTGAGCCAGTAAGACTGTTTACTTTTTTATTGCTCTGAATTCCAGAACTGTGAAATAACATAGCCCTTTAGCTCTTCTCCAAACATATTTATTACTCCATCTTAAATAGCCCCTCCCTAAGGTTTCCCTTTGACTAGTAAGAGTTGCAAAGTCCCGCAACAATCTGCAGAGGGAAGGATGTTGGAAATGCTCTTGGTTGGAGAGCTTTCAGCACAGAATAAACAAGCATCTGTCCTCACTAGTATAAACTATGTTCTATTTAGAGAAAAGAAGCTGAGCTCCTTCAATTCTTGTGTCTCTTCTCTTCAGCGCAAGTCTGCAATTTGCTGAATGCGTTCGTAGTGGCTTTTTCCCAGCAAAGCTAGAATAAAATGACAACAGTCCAACTGTAGTAGACATCTGTTGATTTTGCTGCCTAGTACTCACTGACTCACTATCTAGTAAGTGTGTCCTGATTTCCTCTTTAAAGCCATCTCATCCCATCTCATCCCACTCTTAAAGAACTGTGGTTTTCTGTGCTCCGTGAAACCGACTCCTTCCCCACCATCCCACTCCAGGGGTGCAACATATGACCCAGGCCCACGCCCATCAGTCTGCTGCATTTCCCTCTGATTGGTAGAGCGGCTATGTTGTTCCAGGACTGTTCCTTAGTTCAGCTAAAGACAGAGTTCTTTGTCCCATGGCCACGAAAATTAAGGCTTGCAGACAATTTGAAAAGGCTCGCCAACAATTTGAATGGTGAGTAAAACAGGGTTTTATTGGGTGAAAAGGAAGAAAAGGGGGAAACAGGGACTCTTACTAGGTCAGAGTCCCTGCTACAACCCTTCCTGTTGGAATCCCAGGTTACACACAGGAAGAGGAGGGGCCAGGCTCCTCCCTGATGCAAATGGCACGAGCTTCCCGAGGCTCCACCCCAAGTGGGCAGGCTGGTTGGAGGTTTTCTGGGGACCCCCTCCCATCTCGCTGTCTGAATGTGACACACTCAGGGTTAGTGAGACCTAATGAGATTTTTCTCTGGACTTCTGGGAAAATGACTCCTGTTCTTATTATCCACTGGCCCTGAAACCAGAGACAGGGGTTGCAGCTGCTACTGTAGGCACCACCTTGTTATCACGTGCGGCTGAAACTGAAGCCCACACAAAGGAAGGCAGAGCCAAGAGATGCTCCAATGCTTTCTTCTGTTGATATCAACTAAGCCCCAAATTCAGCCACGCCTGAAGCAAGATTAACCCTGGACTTTTCCGCATAAGGCAGCTAATACACTCCCTTTTATTTAAAAAAAAAAAACAAAAAAACAAAAAAAAAACCCTCTATTTCTTTTTAAATCAAACTGATTCCTATCAGGTTTTCTGTCACTTCTAAAAGAATGAGTCCTAACTGATACACCAGTGTAAGAACTCCAGCTCTGGGAAATCAGGAGTCAGGCATGCATTGGTTCTGTACATTGGTTCTGTACCTCCCCTGCCATCATGAGTTTTTTTCTTTCTTTTTATTTTTTATTTATTTATTTTTTTTTTTGAGGCAAAGTCTTGCTCTGTTGCCCAGCAGTGGCGTGATCTCGGCTCACTGCAGCCTCCACCTTCCAGGTTCAAGCGATTCTCCTGCCTCAGCCTCCCGAGCAGCTGGGATTACAGGCACCTGCCACCATGCCCAGCTAATTTTTGTATTTTAGTGGAGACGGGATTTCACCATGTTGGTCAAGCTGGTCTCAAACTCCTAACCTCAGTTGATCTGCCCGCCTCGGCCTCCCAAACTGCTGGGATTACAGGCGTGAGCCACTGTGCCCGGCCCCATCATGAGTTTTACAATGCTTATTAAATCAAATGTGACCACGATGATGTACCAAGAATGTACTATTAAAATTTGTCAAACAAATGGACTTTTCATTTACAGTCGTGTGTTGTCACTTTACAACATGAATATGTGTTTGTTTGTGTTTCTAAACATAGAAAAGGTACAGTAAAAAGATAGTTTATAACCTGATGGGACCTCCATTCTATATGGGGTCTGTTGCTGACTGAAACATTATTATATGGCTCATGACTGTATTTTCCTTGAGGACTAATCCCAAGATGCCTCATTGAAAGGGCATGTGAAACCACACTAAGTTTATACTTAGGGAGTTCAAGGTAAGATTTTGGTACAAATTAGCTTCTTTTCCTAAGGTTCACCTGATTGAACATTAGTAGAAATAAAGAAAGAAGGAAGGAATAAAAAAACTTAAAAACACGAACCAAATACATTCACCAATGTACATCAAGTCATTTTCCTTTGGCCTCATAGTTGGCAACATTGGGAGTTAACATTTCACTCTAGGGCAGCAAGTTTAGAAGCAAAAAGGTAGTTTGTTGGAGACAGAAATAGAATTCCTGACCAATAATTAAAGAGGCTTGGTTCCATTCTTTTAAATGGACACATAATAATCATAGATATTTATGTGTACATGTGATATTTCAATACATGTATACATGTGAAATGAGCAAAGCAGGGTAATTAGCCTGTCCGTCACCTCAAACATCCATCATTTCTTTGTGTTAGGAACATTCAATATCTGTTCTTCTAGCTATTTGAAAATATACAATAAATTATTGTTAACTAGAGTCACCCTGCAGTGCTATAGAACACTAGAAACTATTCCTTCTATCTGGCTGTAATTTTGTACTCATTAACCAACCTCTCCCTATTTTTCCTTCCCCCTAACCTTCCCAGCCTCTGGTAACCACTGTTCTCCTCTCCACTTCCATGATACCAACTTTTTCAGCTCTCACATATGAGTCAGAACATGTGGTATCTGTCTTTCTGTGTCTGGCTTATTTCACTTAATATAATGTCCTCCAGGCTCATCTATGTTGCTGCGAATGAAGGATTTTATTCTTTTTTTAAATGTCTGAATAGTATTCTATTGTATAAGTGCCACATTTTCTTTATCCCTTCATCTGTTGATAGACACTCAGGTTGATTCCGTATCTTTGCTATTGTGAATAGTGCTGCAATAAACACGAGAGTGTAGATATCTCTTTGACATGCTGATCTCCTTCCCTTTGGATGCATACCCAGCAGTGGGATTGCTGGATCATATGGTCGTTCTATTTTTAGTTTTTGGAGAAAACTTCATACTGTTTTTCATAACGGCTGTACTGTAGGAGTTCCCCTTTCTCCGTATCCTTTTCGGCGTTTGTTATTTTTTTGTCTTCTTGATAATCGCCATTTGAACTGGGGTGAGATGATATCTCATTTTGGTTTTGATTTGCATTTTCCTGATGATTAGTGATGTGGAGCATTTTTTTAATATACTTGGCTATTTGTATGTCTTCTTTTGAGAAATGCCTATTCCAATCTTTTGCCTATTTTTTAATCAGATTATTTGTTTTTTGCTTTTGCTTTTTGTTTTGTTTGTTTGCTGTTGAGTTATTTGCGTTCCAAGTATCTCTAGAAAAGAGGGCATCCACATGCAGAAGAATGAAGGTAGACCCCTATCTCTCACCAGATCCAAAAATCAACTCAAAATGCATCAAAGACTTAAACGTAAGACCCGAAGCTATGAAACTAGGAGAAGAAAACATAGGGAAAACACTTCAGCACATTGGTCTAGGCAAAGGTTTTATGGCTAGTACCTCAAAAACAGTCAACAAAAGCAAAAATAGACAAATGAGATTATATCAGACTCCAAAGCTCCTGCACAGCAAAGGAAACAATCAACAGAATGAAGTGACAACCTGCAATTTGGGAGAAAATATTTGCAAACTATTGATCTGACAAGAGATTAACATCCAGAATATACAGGGGCTGTGTTTTTAAAACCCCTTCTCAGCATTGCTCCCTGGGGATGGAGTCCTTCAAATTGCTTATGCACCCTTTATAATGTAAAACCACCACTTTGTTTTTCTCTGCAGTCTAGAGAGACATGTGTTTGCCAGTCTTATCCTCTCCCTGAACTAGGACATTTAGAATGCAGTTCCTTAGGTGGATGTTATAAGGGCTGGAGCACTTAGCGTGAGTACAAACTCCTCCCAGACTGGTGACAGGTTAATAATTGTCTCGTTAACTCCCCAAGCAAGTTAATTAGAAGCCAGGCCACCAGGTAGCAGCTACAGGTATGTTTTGTAAACTCCTTCCAAGGGGAAACAGAGTTGTTTGTTTTGTTTTGTTGAGACAGGGTCTCGCTCTCGCTCTGTTGCCCAGGCTGGAGTGCAGTGGTACAATCTTTACCCACTGCAGCTTCAACCTCCCGGGTTCAAGTGATCCTCCCACCTCAGCCTCCTGAGAAGCTGGGGCTATAGGCATGCAGCACCACACCTGGCTAATTTTCATAATTTTTTTTTGTAGAGACAGGGTTTTGCCACGTTGTGCTCCGAAAGTGCTGGGATTACAGGCATGAGCCATTGTGCTTGTCCACGTATGTTTTTAAGCCCCTTCTCTGCACTGATTTAAGCCCCTTCTCTGTGCTGATTCCAGTGGTATAAATTCTCTGAAAATACTTGCATGCCCATATTAAACTGCTATATTTTTTTCCTACACATGTGTATCTAATCCCCTCTGTTCTTGTGTTTGGTGCATTAAGTGTTAAATCATGGGGAAACAGGATTAGGGCCCTTCATGTGAGGCTCAGACCATCCTCTCCATGGGAATAAGCTGGGCGTTGGGAACTCCTTTCCCAATTTTATGGCACCGTGGTCAGGGTGCATACTGGGCCCAAGTGTGCCCCAGTTTTCCTATCTATCTGATATCAACATTTTCTCATTTGTCTGGTGGATAGGTGTCTCTCAACTGGTCTCTGACTTTCCGAGGAAATGGATCTGTGGGTAGATGCTTATTTGGTGCATCTATCCATGGAGGGAGGTCAGTAGCTTTCTGCTCCATTATATTCCTGATGTCATCCAAGGCCTGGTTCCATTTGTCTCCACCTGTTGCAACAAGCCTATGACCGATTAATGGCCTCAACTTCCTTCATTTGGAAAATGGGTCCCAAAGGAGACCCAACCCTTTCCAAGACAATTGAATTTTAATTTTAAAGAAATGTTTCCCTATCATGAAACATTTAAAGAGTTTTCAGATTCTTTCTATTAGGAGCCATATAACAAAGAAAACATCTTACAGTGGATAGCTTTTTATTTTTTCTCATTTCAAATAATTCTGGATTAGAGTCTCAAGGGTAGGATTCTGTTTCAAAGGACATAGGTGTCTTTGAGGCTCTTGATGTAGATTCAAAATTACCCCCCAGAATGTTTCAGCAAGTTAATGTGTTAAAGTGCAGCAGTCCCATTACAGCTTCTCCAGCAGCCCGGTGCAGTGAATCACGCCTGGAATCCCAGCATCTTGGGAGGCCAAGGTAAGAGGATCGCTTGAGCCCAGGAGTTCAAGACCAGCCTAGGCAACATAGTGAAAGCCTGTCTCTGCAAGTAATAAAAAAATTAGCCAGATGTGATGGTGCACACCTGTAGTCCCAGCTACTTGGGGGGCTGAAGTGGGAGGATCACTTGAGCCTGGGGAGGTCAAGGCTTCAGTGAGCCAAGATCATGCGACTGCACTCCAGTCTGGGTGACAGAGCAAGACTCTGTCTCAGAATCAAAAACAAAACAAAACAAAAAAACTTATGTAGCAGCAGCATCTAATTACACATTTTGATGGATATGAATAGTCTGTTACTGGACGTAATTTTAGAACCCAATATCCAACACCACCATATTCCAGTACCAAGAGTCTTCCATACTGTGTTGCATTACTACTAATAAAAATGTGTTTAGTTTTCCAGGGAATCTCTTATATAAGCCATCGGTAGCCCACTAAATTACATATTCTTCCAGAGCAAAAACTGTGCTTCCCTTTTCAAGCTTCATTCAGAGTCTACACCCTCTCTTAACAGGTGTTTATTAAACAATTGTTAAATGAATTCACTTGTTTACCCACTTTGTATCTTTGTTTCACGCCCAACATAGTAATACATCCCACAATAAAAATTCAAACATTATTGCTTCTAGTAACACAGATAAGTCAGAAATGCCTCCAAGAAAGCTTTCTGAAGCAGCCCCACCTCCGTCTGAAGCTCTACCCCATTCTATCTTTATTCTATTAACTAAAATGACTTGAGTGCTTGCAGTATGTCAGAGAAACTGCACTGTATGTGTGCACTTAATCCATAACAACCCTCTGTGCAAGTAATCTTATTAATTATTGGAGGAGTTAGTAATTCACCCTGTCGTGGATGCTGTGATGTGGCACCTGAAAAAGTTGTTCTCTGTAATATTTATTCTCAAAGCTGCAAGAAACGCTGTTGACAGATAGCTCTCAGCTGTCAGCCACCCGGGTGATTGCTGTAGGGAGCCAGCATCCACTGACTTGGTTGACATGAAAGCAGAGAGTCCTGGTCCCCTCACTCCAACTCAGGACAACTCTAACAGCTCTCCTTTCTCCAGAGCTCTCTGTGAAGTTGGCTGAAGCCTTCATCAAGACTTTATTGTAGCCCAATGCCTCCCTCTGCCCAATCCTGCCCCTTTCCCTCCTCTTTCTATCCACAAGGGTTGATCCCAGGAGCATTCCCTAATCAACATTATAGCTGCTACTCTCCATTTCCCAGTGGCCTTTCCAGGAACTCATCAACGCAGCCAAAGTCATGCTTCTCAAAAACGACAAAAAGGAGATTCAAACCCAGGCCTACTCGGCTCTCAAACCCGTGATATAAAGCACTACACTAAACTCTCTTCCTAATCCCAATGCCTCTCTCTTTTTAAAGCTACAGATACCTGGCCGGGCGCGGTGGCTCAATCCTGTAATCCCAGCACTTCGGGAGGCCGAGGTGGGCAGATCACGAGGTCAGGAGATTGAGACCATCCTGGCTAACACACTGAAACCCCGTCTCCACTAAAAATACAAAAAATTAGCCGGGCGTGGTGGTGGGCGCCTGTAGTCCCAGCTACTCGGCAGGCTGAGGCAGGAGAATGGCGCGAACCCGGGAGGCGGAGCTTGCAGTGAGCAGAGATGGCGCCACTGCACTCCAGCCTGGGCGACAGAGCGAGACTCCGTCTCAAAAAACAAAAAAGAAAAAAAAAAAGCTACAGATACCAGAACCCCACACCCAGAGATTCTGATATGGTTAGTGTGGGTTGGTCAGTGACTAACCATCTTAACTTGCTCAGGACTGAGGGGTTCCCCAGGACGCAGGACTTTCAGAGCTAAAACCAGGAAAGTCCTGGGAAAACGGGGGCAAGTTGGTCACCCTAATTGGGGCGTGTCTCTGGTGTCTGTAATTTCAACAAGCTCTTTGGATGTTTCTGGTGCACTCTAAAGCATTAAAAAGCGGTGTATTGATAAAAAGAAGTCCTAATGATGGGCGGGTGTTGTTAAACGACCATCATCAAACTCTATTCTGTGTTAGGCACTGTCTTTCCAGGGCAATCTGTTTATTAGATACTATCATCCCCATTTTACAGATGAGGAAACTAAGGTCAGAGAAATCATGGAACTTGCCCAAGGCCACAGAAGCGAGTAAGTGCTGGAACCTGACGACAAGCCTAGGTGGTCCGGAGTCTGTGCTGACAAACCCTACCCCACGCTGAATCCAAAATGACTTATTCTCTCTAAATTTCCTCCTCTGGAGATGGAGAGAATAATATTTCTGCCCATGGGTGGTTGTTGTTAGGGTAAAATAAGGTAACGAAGTACCTCCTTTGCACCTCCCAGAGTGGATACGTATTATGTTCCCTTCCTTTCTTCCTCGGTGGGATGGTGGGTATGTGTTTTCTGTCCATTGAACACTAAGAAGAGGATTAAAGCTGTTTCCTGATTGTATACACAACTTTCAGCAAAACTGACTCAAGGAAAAACTCACTTTAAGTCACTACACATTGACCGAGAAACTTCCATGTTCATGGCATTCTGCTAGGAAACGTGGGGGACACTGCAGTGAACAAACCTAATTCGGGACCTCCAGAAACTCATCAACAAAGAGGACAGATGGATTACATGGATCTCAGTCTTCCTGGGAAAAGAAAAATCCTAACGCTAACAAATAGCTTCCTCTCCTCTCCTCTCCTCTCTCTGTTTGTCTCCCTTTTCTTCTCCTCTCTTCTTCATGTAAGGGTGGAACATGCACGATAAATAGGAAAAAGAACTTCAATATGAGAACCTGAGAGAAAGAGAATTTGACTAGCATGTTGGAAAGAGAGAAGGTGACAGAAATCACATCAGCTCTTCTGTGTCCTCAGCCCTCATGTTCTGGGTGAGTCCCTGGTGAATACAGGCGTCTCCAGGCCTCATCACACGGAACAGTTTAGGTGGCAGACACATCCAGTCAATTCTAAAACATGCTGAGTGATTCTTGTTTTAAGAAATTAACATGGCAGATACAACTATTGTGAAAAGTGCCAAGAACTCCAGAGTAAGTGAGCAGAGAGGGAAGCAGAGCCTGCTGGCATCCCACAGGGGTGCTGGAAAGGATGTGGGCCTTGGAGTTAGAGAGACTGAGGTTCAAATCCCAGTCCTGCCATGCAGGAACTGTGTGAGCCTCAGTTTCATCATAAAAAAGTCAAGGTAATTTGTTTTCCTTTTTTTTTGGAGAGAGGGGCTCACTGTATTGCCCAGGCTGGAGTGCAGTGATGTGATCATAGCTCATTGCAGCCTTGACCTGCTGGGCTCAAGCGATCCTCCTACCCCAGCCTCCCGAATATGTGGGACTACAAGCACACACCACCAAGCCTGGCTAATATTTTTATTTTTTTGTAGAAACAGGGTCTCACTATGTTGTCCAGGCTGGTCTTGAACTCCTGGCCTCAAGCAATCCTTTTGCCTTGGCCTCCCAAAGTGCTGGGATTACAGGCATGAACCACTGGACCTGGCAAAAAAAAGTTGAGGTTATACTTAATGTCCTAGCAGGATTTCTGTGAAGATGAAACAAGGTGATGTATGTAAAACTACTTCCCTAATCACTGTGATTGTGAGATAGCGGGACTATCATCTGCCTGACTAGCAGCCTTTCACCCCCTTCTGGTAAAGTTGCTACCCCTTGGACATAAGGATGAACCCAGGCAAGATGACAAAACCGAATTCAAGCTAAGGTGTTGTGATGGTTAATACTGAGTGTCAACTTGATGGAATTGAAGGATGCAAAGTATTGTCCCGGGGTGTGTCTGTGAGGGTGTTGCCAAAGGAGATTAACATTTGAGACAGTGGACTGGGAAAGGCAGACCCACCCTCAATCTAGTGGGCACCATCTAATCAGCTGCCAGCACAGCTAGAATAAAAGCAGGCAGAGGAACGAGGAAAGACTAGACTGGTTCAGTCTTCCGGCCTCCATCTTTCTCCCGTGCTGGATGCTTCCTGCCCTCAAACATCGGACTCCAAGTTCTTCAGCTTTGGGACTCGGACTGGCTTCCTTGATCCTCAGCTTGCAAATGGCCTATTGTGGGACCTCAACTTGTGATCGTGTGAGTCAATACTCCTTAATAAACTCCCCTTTATATGTTCAGCAATCCTATTAGTTCTGTCCCTCTAGAGAACCCTGACTAACACAGATTTCGGTATCAGGAGTGGCTATAATACAGGTTGCTTGGCTGGGACTCTTCAACTGGGCTGGTGGAAGTCTTACATTCTTGAGTTCCCAGCATAGAACTCTGAGCTAGCAACAGTCACATCCCATGAGAAAGTTATTAAGAGAATGAATCCAGAACCTAATGAGGAGATCAGACAAAAGCCAGAGAGGGGCCGGGTGCGGTGGCTCATGACTGTAATTCTAGCACTTTGGGAGGCTGAGGCAGGCACATCACCTGAGGTCAGGAGTTCGAGACCAGCCAGACCAACATGGCGAAACCTCATCTCTACTAAAAATACAAAAATTAGCCAGGTGTGGTGGCACATGCCTGTAATCCCAGCTACTCGGGAGGCTGAGGCAGGAGAATCGCTTGAACCCCGGAGGCAGAGGTTGCAGTGAACTGAAATCATGCCACTGCACTCCAGCCTGGGCAACAGAGCGAGACTCTGTCTCAAAAAAAAAAAAAAAATGCACAGAGGGAACCTGAGGAAATGGTGGCCCTGCCTCCTGCAAGGATTCCTCATCTGTGATTGTTCATTGTTTATTTCCCCATTCTTCTGGCAAATTCCCACTAACTTCCTCTGGCTCAAGGAATTAGACATGAGGGAGTAAAAAAAGGTGGAAGGTGTCACTCCTGTTTTAGCATGGAGCTCCTCTCTCCAGACCTCTCTGTGAGGTTGGCTGAAGCCTTCATCAAGACTTCATTGGAGCCCAGTGTCTCCCTTTGCCCAATCCCACCCATTTCTCTTCTCTTTCCATCCACAGTGGTTGATCTCAGCAGCATTCCCTAATCAACATTATACCTTAGCACCCCACTCCAGCCATCATTGGGTCTATGAAGTGTATTTCCCAGGAGCAAAAACCATAACTCACTCAGCCATCCAGGATCAGGGAGACTCTGGGGTCCTGACTGGAGGTTTGCCACCTTCACTGTGTAGAATGCTAGGTGACTTTCTCTATCACTTCTTATAGGAACCCTAAGTAGCTACAGCAAAAGACAGAGTGGTTCACGTGCTTGCAAAGCTGTATTTCTCAAAGTCTGGTGTGTGTTCAAACCACCTGGAGAATGTGGAAGAAATGCAGAGGACCTGGCCCTACCCCTCTTCAGCAGGCCTGGGCCTCTGGCTTCTGTGTTAGTTCTCCAGGTGACACTAGTACACACTGAAGTTTGAGAATCACCGTTGCAAAGGAGGCAGGTATGGTCTGATGCTCAGACAATATCATCAGGGCCCTCTCTTTTCCTCAATCTCTCCACCTGTCCATTGCTGTCTGGGTGTCATTCCATAGGGTCCTTCTTCATTGCATGCTCAAGGCCACTTTTGCTCTGAGTCACATCCTTTCAGCTCATGTTTCAAAGGCAGATAAGTAGCCTCTCAGTCCCTACATCCATATACAGGGTTTCAGAGAAATACTGACTGTTCCATCTTGGGTCGCATACTTGCCCCTCGTCACATGCTCATGACCGTCACCGCACCCAGAGGAATGAGGGGGACTGTAATTTTCCAGACTTGTATCACTGCCCATTCCAAGAACCACTGGATGGAGGACGTGGGTGCTATGATTAGAAACCTCCCAGAACCTCATGGAATGGGGAAGTCAGAGCTCCTTAATGTAAAGAAGGCTGTGTCCAAAAGCAGAGGAGCAAGGGATGCTGGCCACAATGCTGTTCCAAATACACACAGCGCAACAGTTCGCTCCCAAGTAGACTGAATTCTAATCACAGCCATAAGACTAGTAGCTTTAACAACGGAGAGGCATTGGTAATAGCGAGAGAGTTTAGTGTCGTGGTTGATATCATGGGTTTGAGAGTCAATTGCGGGCACCTATACACCAGTCAAAACAAATATGTTTCAATATTTTAACAGTGCATATTTTCTCACAGATGCACACCTGTTGAACATTTCCAGCCCTGAGTATCCTCTTAATAACCATACTGCTAGAACATAGGTATGTATGCTGTAGGATGTTGGAGTTATGCAAAGCCTCTTTCTGGAGCACTTGTTTTACTCAAATATTTGGGAAGGAAAACATTATTTGTATATTAAAACAAACCTAACTACATTGCCGAACAGTATGCAGAACAGACACAAATGTTTAGGATGAACATAAAATGTCAAGGAAGCTTGGGCTGGCTGTGGTGGCTCATGCCTGTAATCCCAGAACTTTGGGAGGCCGAGGTGGGTGGATCATCTGAGGTCAGGAGTTCAAGACCAGCCTGGCCAACATAGTGAAACCTCGCCTCTACTAAAAACATAAAAATTAGCTGGGCTTGGTGGCGCACGCCTGTAGTCCCAGCTACTCAGGAGGCTGAGGCAAGAGGATCACTTGAACCCAGGAGGTGCAGGTTGCAGTGAACCGAGATTGTGCCACTGCATTCCAGCTTGGGCAACAGAGTGAGACTCCATCTCAAAAATAAATAAATAAATAAAACTATGCAGCCATAAAAAAGGATGAGCTCATGTCCTTTGCAGGGATATGGATGAAGCTGGAAACCATCATTCTCAGCAAACTAACATAAGAACAGAAAACCAAGCCTCACATGTTCTCACTTATAAGTGGGAGTTGAACAATGAGAACACATGGACACAGGGAGGGGAACATCACACAGCAGGGCATGTCAGGGGGTCGAGAGCTAGGGGAGGGATAGCATTAGGAGAAATACCTAATGTAGATGATGGGCTGATGGGTACAGCAAACCACTATGGCACATGTATACCTATGTAACAAAACTGCACATTCTGCACATGTACCCCATAACTTAAAGTATAATAATAAAAAAAAGAAAAATAAATAAATAAATAAATAAAAATAATGTCAAGGAAGCTCGAACGTGGAATCCCGGACATAAGGGGTCCTCCTGCAGCAAAGACTGCAAAGCATTGTCAGAGAAACTGCCATATAGACAACATTTGTGTCCCCATTACACAATGTGGGACTGGCAGGGTGAAGATGTTGTCTAAAGGTGCAATGTGTACTTTTAAGTGGAGCAGGAATCCACGCCATCCGCCTGGCTCGGAGCACCTGTGCTCTCAGCAATATCATGCTGCCTTCCTGAACCCTAGCCCCTTGCTGGTCTTGCTGGTGTTATTTTGATTTTTGGGAAATCTAATCTACAGTGGAAAGAAAAGTTATTGAATAGCTCTCCTTAGTGAAAGAACTCACTGAGGAGAATTTTGAGGTTAAGGAAGAGGATAGGTGGTTCAGTTCTGCAACGGAATGAGTGATTGTTCCACACCGTTAGGGAAGGCCTTTGCAAAGACAAACCATTGTGTGTTTCAAGGTTTAGAGAGCCACAGGCCAAGAAAGCCGCAGGAACAAAACAACATTCGTTGCACGGTGGAAATTTCAGAACCAGTTGTGTAGGAAAGTTTGACGCAATCTTTTGGCTACAATTCAACCTGCTGGTCTAAAATTCAAAGTTGTACAATAATTGCAAAAAGATTTGCATTAAAGTAAACACTTATCAAACTACTGGAAGATAGAGGGGTAAGCCTGGTTGTCTATACTGATGAGCTGAGAAACATTAGAAATATCATATGGAGATAGGGTTACAGATCATGAGTGAGTACCAATAGAATCATGACTCTCCAGCTACTTAGAGCATCTAATTTTCCTCTACAAGTCCTCTGTAAACACTTGTCGAATGAATGCATAAATAAGTGAATACATCACAATTTTTTAAGAAAAATGTTTCTCCCAAAAATTATTTTTCATGTAACTGAAGCTCCCAGAGGCTACACATGCATGTCCCCCGGCCTTAAGCTGTACAGAGCACTGTTATATATCTCTGGAAAACAATGCACAGTTAAAGAGAGAAGCGTGTCTTAGGCCATTTGGGCTGCTACAATGAAATACTATAGACTACCTGTCTTATAAACAACAGCCATTTATTTCTTATAGCTCTAGAGGCTGCAAAGTCCAAGATCAAGGCAGTGTTAGACTTGGTGTCCGATGAGGGCACACTTCCTTGTTCATAGGCAGTGCCTTCTCAGCTGTGTCCTCATATGCTGGAAGGGGCTCCCTGGGGTCTCTTTTAAACTGGCAACAATGGCTAGGCACAGTGGCTCACGCCTAGTAATCCCAGCACTTTAGGAGGCCGAGGCAGGTGGATCACCTGACGTCAGGAGTTCAAGACCAGCCTGGCCAACATGGTGAAACCCCGTCTCTACTAAAAATAAAAAATTAGCCAGGTGTGGTGGTGCACACCTGTAGTCCCAGCTACTTGGGAGGCTGAGGTAGGAGAATCACTTGAACCTGGGAGGTGGAAGTTGCAGTGAGCCAAGATCATGCCACAGCACTCCAGCCTGGGTGACACAGCAAGACTCCATCTCAAAAAGAATAAATACATAAATAAAATAAAATGGCAACAATTCCATTCATGAAGCGTCCAGCCTCATGACCTAATCACTTCCCAAAGGCCCCACCCTCCTAATAGCCTAATATGTTAGGATTTCAACATAGGAATTTCAGAGGGACACAAACATTCAGACAACAGCATTGTGCCAAAAGGATCCCGTAAATACATTGTGAATGATAGAATGTGATAGAATAAGGGTTTTGTTCAAAACTGAGACACACTTTTTTATTCTATCTCTTTATGGTTTCACAAAATTAGTAATACTTCAGATCTACCTAGTACCTCTCCATTTATAAGGCGATATTGAATAGATGATTTCCTTTCACTTCTTCAGTGACTTTTTGTTTTTCTTTTTTTTTTTGAGACAAAACCTCACTCTGTCACCCAGGCTGGAGTGCAGGGGAGCAATCTTGGCTCACGGCAGCCTCAATCTCCGGGGCTCAAGTGATCCTCCCATCTCAACCTTCCAATCAGCTGGGACCACAGGCGTGCACTACTATGCCTGGCTAATTTTTAAATTATTTTAAATTATTTGTAGACATGGGGTCTCCCTATCAATGCCCAGGGTGCCCAGGGTGGTCTCTAGCTCCTGGGCTCAAGTGAATCTCCCAAAGTGCTGAGATTATAGGTGTTAGTCGTCACGCCCAGCCAATAACATCCTTTTATTTTTTTTTTTTTTTTTTTTTTTTGAGAC
Organism: Homo sapiens; assembly: GCF_000001405.40. Taxonomy (NCBI): domain Eukaryota; kingdom Metazoa; phylum Chordata; class Mammalia; order Primates; family Hominidae; genus Homo; species Homo sapiens. The sequence goes on from NC_000010.11 coordinate 14,685,172, forward strand.
AGGTTCTTGCTCTGTCACCTGGGCTGGAGTGCAGAGGTGTGATCAGAGCTCACCGCAACCTCCAACTCCTGGGCTCAAGCCATCCTCCCACCTCAGCCTCCTGAGTAGCTAGGACTACAGGTATGTACCACCATGACCCGCTAATTTTTAAATTTTTGGTAGAGACGAGGCCTCACTATGTTGCCCAGACTGACCTCAAACTCCTGGGCCCAAGCAATCCTCCCACCTAGGCCTCCCTCCAAAAGTGCTAGGATTATAGTGTGAGCCACTGCACCTGGTCTTGATAACTTTTTATGGTGGACAGAGTAGGTGTCCCCCAGTTTTCAAGGAAGAATTTAATCCCCACAGACACACAACCATAAAGAAAGGCAAGTTAGGGTGCCCTTCTCGTGAGCCATTAAGGGAGTGCAGCCTGGTAGCTGCCTATTGGCTCCTGTCACTTACATAAAGTTCAGACAAGAGTCTCAGAAAGTAGGGAAGGAGGAGAGGTGTTTCCAGAAGCCTCAGACTGCCTCCTATGAACACATACTTGGAGCGTTTGTAAGAATCCTGGAGGTTACTTCTGAGTTTGGGTTTTATATCCGCTCAGTCTCCCTCTCTATCAGTCTGTTCTCACACCGCTGATAAAGACATACCCAAGACTGAGTGATTTATAAAGGAAAGAGGTTTAATGGACTCACAGTTCTACATGGCTGGGGCGGCCTCACAATCATGGCGGAAGGCAAAAAAGAAGCGAAGACAAGCCTTGTCTTACGTGGCAGCAGGCAAGAGGGAGCTTGTACAGGGGAACTCCCATTTATAAAACCATCAGATCTTGTGGGACCTATTCACTACCACGAGAACCATCTAGGGGACCCCACCCCCCTGATTCAATTATCTCCACCTAGCTCTGCCCTTGACACGTGGGGATTATTACAATTCAAGGTGAGATTTGGGGCCGGGTTCAGTGACTTATGCCTGTAGTCCCAGCACTTTGGGAGGCCGAGGTGGGCAGATCACTTGAGGTCAGGAGTTCGAGACCAGCCTGGCAAACATGGTGAAACCCCGTCTCTACTACAAATACAAAAATTAGCCGGGCATGTTGGTTGGCACCTGTAGTCCCAGCTACTCAGGAGGCTGAGGTAGGAGAATCACTTGAACCCAGGAGGCGGAGATTGCAGTGAGCTGAGATTGCACCACTGGACTCCAGCCTAGGCGACAGAGCAAGACTCTGCATGTCTCAAAAAAAAAAAAAAAAGTGTGGTGGCAAGGTGAGATTTGGGCGGGGACACAGCCAAACCCTATCACCATCTCAGAAGGCATTCTAAGCTTCTAAGCCCTGGTATTTGTGAGGTTGGAATTATGTCTATGAGCAGAAGTCACGGCCCTAGGCAGTAACACTCAACAATGCCTCTGGTTTCCTGTAGAACCTTTCAGAATGAATGGAAACTCAGTAGCGAATATTTTTGGTAAACCTACATTTTTCTAGTCCGTGCTGAAGTGAAGCTGTAAGTTTAGACTCCAGGCCTGGCAACCCAACCTCTTTTCCTGAGGCTTGAGTCAGCACAAAGCACTATGCACAAGGTGCCCAAATGAACTTAAAATATGGTCTGAATTCATCCTGAGAAGAAATGCTAAACTGAAGTTGTTCAGTGCCAATTAACAAATTGAAGAGAGAGGGGCAGGTGGAGCCAATGGCCTGTTCTCCAGCCCTCTCCTGGGCCCCACCAATGCCCAGGGCCCTTGCTATGCATGACTGTTAATGCAACTTTTAAAGCAATATTATTTTTGAATATAATTGTGCAAGCTTATTTAATTACAGTCATGTCATGTAACTCATTGCTTTTCAGGAATTTCAGGAAATTTTACGCTCAAAAAGCATGGCGAAGCCTCAGAGATGCTGAACGATTTCCTTGGTTCAGTAAATAGCTCTCATCTTTCAGGCTGTCCCCAAAACAAAAGTTGTTTTCTAAATAATGTGCTTCCTACTAATCCTTGTTAACCTCATTCTAGAAAGGCAATGCCATCTAATGGAAAACGAGGGTCAGGAGACACATGTTCCCGTACAACATAATTACATGAACCTGACCAAATCCACACTTCCCCGGGCTTCATTTTCTCTTTAACAAAACGGAGAGAACAAGAGCTCTTTGCAACCTCACGGTCAAATAAACCTACAGCTGAAATAAGGGAGGAAGGCTGAAAAGCATTCTGAGCTCTTTAGAATAACAGGAGGTTCAACACTCTTGTTATTTGGAAAGAGATAATCATAAAGGTCAGTATGTATCTTTAGAATTTTCTCAATAGAACCCAGGCACTTGTGTGCAAATAAAAAACCAACACAATGCTTGGAATTCTGTCACCTTGTACACAGTGATCACTGAGCAAATATTTGTTGTTTGTGGAGTGTTCTCACCCTACAGACATTTTCAAGTCTGCATGGAGAACCCAGGAAAACATAGCAAGAGAAGGACCAGTGTTGCGGGGGGTGGGGGAGGGCTGGGGAGGGGCAGATTATAATGAAAAGTGCTTCCATGAGTATTTTCTTCCACTTCCATTCCATTTCTGCCTCTAAAAGTTTCTCTGCCCAATTCTTATTCCTGGCTAGAGCATGATAGAACCACTTCTAGACCATAAAGACTGGGGTAGTCCCTGCACACACATACACAAGCATGCATGCACAACCACACACACATACGTGCACACACACAAAAACAGTCATGTACACACATACACACAAATGCGCTGTGATGGTAATACTGAGTATCAACTTGATTGGATTGAAGGATGCAAAGTATTGATCTTGGGTTTGTCTGTAAGGGTATTGCCAAAGGAGATTAACATTTGAGTCAGTGGGCTGGGAAAGGCAGACCCACCTTCAATTTGGGTGGGCGCCATCTAATCAGCTGCCAGCACAGCTAGAAGAAAGCAGGCAGGAGAAATTGGGAGAAGCTGACTTGCTGAGTCTTCCAGCCTTCGTTTCTCTCCTGTGCTGGATGCTTCCTGCCCTTGAACATCAGATTCCAAGTTCTTCAGCTTTTGGACTCTTGGGCTTACACCAGTGGTTTGCCAGGGGCTCTCGGGCCTTTGGCCACAGACTGAAGGCTGCACTGTCGGCTTCCCTACTTTTGAGGTTTTGGGACTCGGACTGGCTTTCTTGCTCCTCAGCTTGCAGAAGGCCTATTGTGGGACTTCACCTTGTGATCGCGTGAGTCAGCATCTTTAATACACTACCTTTCATGTATACATCTGTCCTATTCTGTCCCTCTAGAGAACTGTGACTAATACACACACACAGGCATGCATACACACACATGCATGTACACACATAAATACACGTACACACAACCAACCAAAAGTCAACCAAACGACAAACAATAAACTCATTAAAAAGATTTTCAATTGTTCAGCCTTCCCAAGCCTCCTGTCAATGCCTCTGATCTTCATAACAAGACATACACCATTTGTTTTAGTGTCTCTTTTGTCAGAGCTTCCAGAAAGCAAAGAGATGTTACCTAGAATTTGAGTGTGAATTTAAGTGGTGCTCAACGTTTCTTTACAAGGCGTCGGTAAACAGAGCTTCCATTTTCCAGACATCATTCCACAGTCTGACCACCCTCTCCGCCCACACCTTCCTGCTGGTTTGCCACTTCCCACAGCTGCTGCTAACACAATCCAGATGTTCAAATCCATCCATGCCCTTTGACCTCTTTCTGTTGGTCTGAACATGCCTACTAGTCTAAGGGAGAAAAGATGTATTCTTTGGGACAAGGGGTCGATTCTGGGCTAGAAAACCAAAGGAGGACTTTATTGTAATCTAAGGGCAAGCATTCTTTCCTTTCATGGGAAACATTTCATTTCATTTATTCAACAAACATTGACTGAGCATCTACTATGTGCATGTCGCTGGGCTGGTGTGGGAAATACGAGAACCAACACATGGACCTTGTCCTCAAGAAGCTCCTGGTGGCCAGGTGCGGTGGCTCACACCTGTAATGGTGGACAGACTGCTTGAGCTCAGGAGTTCGAGACCAGCCTGGGCCACATAGCAAAACCTCATCTCTAAAAAAAATACAAAAATTAGCCAGGCTTGATAGTATGCACCTGAAGTCCCAGCTCCTCAGGAGGCTGAGGTGGGAGGATTGCTTGAACCCAGGAGGTCGAGGCTGCACAGAGCTGAGACCGCACCACTGCACTTTAGCCTGGGCAACAGAATAAGACCCTATCTCAAAAAAAAAAAAAAAGAATAAAAATTTTCTTTTAAAAAAAGAAGCTCCTAGAGAAGGAAAGCAATCATTGCAAACTGGGAAATGCTAGAGTAGACTTTACAGCAATGCACTCAGGAGTCCTGAGGAAAGACACCTTCTGGCCTGACGGTAATGAGAGGTAAGTACGAGGAAGGCTTCTCAGGGAATAGGACACATGCCAGTTAGGTGGAGGTGGTGGCATTCCAGGTGGGGAACTACTTAAGGAACAAAGCCTCTGACAATATTTTTCGCTTTTAATTTTTGTTTAAAAAAGATACCTTGGCTGGGCACAGTGCCTCACACCTGTAATCCCAGCATTTTGGGAGGCTGAGGCAGGAGGATCATGTAAGCCCAGAAGTTTGAGACAAACCTGGGCAATATAGCAAGAGCCCATCTCTACAAAACAAAATTTTTAATTAGCTGGGTGTGGTAGTGCATTCCTATAATCCCAGCTACTCTGGAAGCTGAGGCAGGAGGATTACTTGAGCCTGGAGAGGTCGAGGCTGCAGTGAGCTGAGCTCGCACCACAGCACTCCAGCCTCGGTGACAGACTCTGCCTCAAAAAAAGAAATAGAAAGAAAAAAAGAAGAAAGAAAGACAAAAGGAAGGAAGGAAGGAAGGAAGGAAGGGAGGGAGGGAGGGAGGGAGGGAGGGAGACACCTGTCATCTCAGATCCAGCACATGTATCCAATATCCTCCATGTGACCCATCCTTCTCCTCCTGCCTGTTGATTGATCACACCAATGGGTAATGGGTTCCCTTGCCCTCTGGCTTCTCACCGGATTCAGTCGATGGAGATCACTAGCAGATCTAAGTGACGGAGGAGAGTGAGGTCAAGACACTTACTCCACTGGCTCTCACCTTCAGGTCACTGAAGATCAAGGCTCCTTTCAAGGCAGTCTTTCCTATGAAAGGCTCTGCCTCTGTTTCCTGTTTCTGCTTCCTCCCCTCATCCTTCTGGGTGTAGGAGTTGTCACAGCTCTTTTGCCATTACTAGTATCCCTGGTGGCTGCTCTACATCTCACCCATACTTTCACAACTAGCCCCTTTATTTTTTTATTTTTTTATTTTTTTGAGATGGAGTCTCGCTCTGTCGCCCAGGCTGGAGTGCAGTGGTGTGAACTCAGCTCGCTGCAACCTCTACCTCCCAGGTTCAAGTGATTCTCCTGTTCAGCCTCCCGAGTAGCTGGGACTACAGTTGCGCGCCACCATGCCCAGCTAATATTTTGTATTTTTAGTAGAGACAGGGTTTCACCTTGTTAGCCAGGATGGTCTCGATCTCCTGACCTTGTGATCCCCCCACCTCTGCCTCCCAAAGTGCTGGGATTACAGGCGTGAGCCACCACGCCCGGCCAACTAGCCCCTTTATTAAGCTCTCTTTGAATTATTCTAATTTGAGGGCCATCTGTTTCCTGCTGGAACCTTGACTGATATATAAGAAACAGATCAGGGAGAACAGGATGCAAAAACTATATATATGCTATGATGGTAGTGATGATGTCTGATTGATCCATTCATTATTTCATGGGCATTTGTTGATTGATTGATTGATTGATAGCCAACAAAGTGAAAAGCACAATGGGAGAGCATACTTCCTGGGTTGTATGACACGGTCTTCGTGACAACATTCCTTGTTATGATCAGGCTTATTTTTAGAGACATGGGCTAGCTTCCGTCACCCAGGCTGGAGTGCAGTGGTACTATCATAGTTCACTGCAGCCTCGACCTCCTGGGTTCAAGTGATCCTCTCACCTCAGCCTCCCAAAGTGCTGGGATTACAGGCATGAGCCCCCGTACCCAGCCCTAAACTATGCACTTTAATTTGGGGATCAGAAAATATGATCTCAGTAGCTATGGGTGAGGGAAGAATGAGAAACATGGGATCTGTACTCTCAGAGTACAGAGGTTAGCTCAGTCCTGCAGAGTCCATGTCTCCAAAAGAAAAGAGCAAATGGAGAAAGTCTAAGACATGATCAAGTGCCAGTTCTGCGCTCTGCAGGTTACTCTGCGGGCCAAGCTCCCTCGCCCTGCTGAGTGGTAAGGCTGCTGCTTCGGGGTCGAAACTTCCGTAATCACAAAGGCCCAGTATGAGCCAGGCAGTGAGCTGAAAGCTTTTCACACAATATTGAATTTATCTTTACGACAACCCTATAAAACAGGCCTTATCTTCCTCCTTCAACAGAAGGGAAAACTGAGGCTTAAAACATTAAACTTGGCTGGGTGTGGTGGCTCATGCCTGTAATCCTAGCCCTTTGGGAGGCCAAGGCGGTTGGATCACTTGAGGTCAGAAGTTTGAGACAGCCTGGCCAACATGGTGAAACCCCATCTCTACTGAAAATACAAAAAATTAGCCAGGCATGGTGGCAGGTGGCTATAATCCCAGCTACTCAGGAGGCTGAGGCAGGAGAATTGCTTGAACCTGGGAAGCGGAGGTTGCAGTGAGCTGAGATCGTGCCACTGCAAGCCAGCCTGAGCTACAGAGTGAGACTCTGTCACAAAAAAAAAAAAAAAAAATTAAACTAGGAGTAGGCAGCATCTGGACTTGCACCTGCATCTGGAGCGAAGACCCCATGCTTCTACCTACATCACTGCATCATCTCTCCTAGGAATAGACAATCCTTGACCATGACCAAACGGTGTTTGGTGAAGAAGAGACAGTTACAGGTTTGGAGGCAAGTGCTATCCTGCAATTGCGGTTTAATCTCTGTTATTCCATCCACACAGTAAGAACCAGGCTGGGAAGGCAATCGAGGGGAGCCCCCTTTGGATTCTGCATGATACAATCAGACATCCACCCACAATTTGCTCTGGGTGGAAAGAAAGGAGAAGGGACAAGCAAAACAAGGCGTACCCCTGGGGCACACCAAAGATGAGCTCCCCTGGCGGCTCTGCTCCCTTGGAACCATCTAGTCATTATCACTTTATTGGAGATTGGGGTATTCGTAGGAGGGGTACTAAACCCATTTGGAATTTCAGGCTGTTCTACTTGTGAGTGGGGCTGAGGGTGGGGTGACTTCATCGTACACTTCCTTTAGGGACAAGGGCAGATAACCTAGCCACACAGGAGGGTTTTTATCAGTGGCAAGCAATATAAACGGTTGTAAATTTAAAGTACCTCATAAATTCTGGAGAATTCATATTTAAGACCCATTGATGCCCTCATAAAAATCTACCTTACTTTCCCCTTCTACTGAACATACCCGTTTGTCATGGTTTAGGACTGTCGTCTCAGCATGACTATTAATGGTGTCCCCGTGTACTCTCAAGAGTGTCGATTTGGATGATAAATTGTCACTCTTCCTTTGCTGTATGCAATTGATCAACAAAGAAAGGTGGGTGAGGCAGTGGGCTCTGAGCTTCAAATAGCCCAAGTGTGGTTTCAGAATGAACGTTGTCTTGCTGCACGGGCCGGGGTTATTCAATTATCCTCTCTGATCCTTTATGTGCCACGTGAGAATAAAATATGTGGCCAGTGACTTTTACGAGCCATAATAAATAGAGGTGGTTCATAGAGTTATAGATCTTATAGCTAGAAACAACCTCAAGAGATCATTCCGTGCACAGGGCTATGACGATCCATGCAAAAATCGCAGTGATGCGGTCAGCCTTCACTAGGGTCCTCTGTTACTGCTTTGGAGTAATCAACCAAGTCAACCCAGCCATGGTAAATGACATCGCAGAGAGCTGATGACTTGGTGACTTATGTCTTTTATCAAGTGGAATTCTAACTTTCAATTAGTCTACCTCTGTGTGTGTTTTTTAAATATAACTTTTATTGTATATATTTAAGGTATATGGCCGGGCGCGGTGGCTCACGCCTGTAATCCCAGCACTTTGGGAGGCCAAGGTGGGTGGATCTCCTGAGGTCAGGAGTTCGAGACCAGCCTGGCCAACATGGGGAAACCCCATCTCTACTAAAAATATTAAAAAACTAGCAGGGCGTGGTGGTGGGTGCCTGTAATCCCAGCTACTTGGGACGCTGAGGCAGGAGAATTCCTTGAACCCAGGAGACGGAGGTTGCAGTGAGCTGACATGGTGCCACTGCACTCCAGCCTCGGCGACAGAGTGACACCGTCTCAAAAAAAAAAAAAAGGTATACAACAGGACACTATGGGATACATATGGATAGTAAAATGGTTATTAGAGTGAAGCAAATTAACACATCCATTACCTCACATAGTTACTCTTTTGTTTAATTTTGTGTGGCAAGAGCGGCTAAAATCTACTCATCTAGCAGGAACGGCAAATACAGTACAGTTTTTTTTAGTGACAGTCTTCATGTTGTACATAACATTCCTAGACATGTTATCCTACGTATCTGCTACTTTGTACCCACTGACCTCCATGTCCCCATCTCTTCTCCCCACCTACCCTTCCCACCCCTGGGAACCACTGTTTTATTCTCTACCTCTGTATGAAGTGTTTGACTTTTTTTCCATATGTAAGTGACCATGTAATAGTGTAAACAGTATTTGCTTTTCCACATGTAAGTGAGGTAAGTGAGATGATGTGTCTATGTACAGTATTTGTTGTTGGTTTTTTTAGATTCCACATGAAAATTTGATCATGCAATATTTTTCTTTCTGAGTCTAGCCTATTTCACTTAGCATATTGCTCTCCGGGTTCATCTGTGTTGTGGTAAAGGGCTGGACCTTCTTTTTTAAGGCTGAATGATATTCCGCTGTATGTATATACCACAGTTTCTTTATCCATTCATGCACTGATGGACACTTAGGTTGTTTCCATAGCTTAGCTAGTAGGAATAATGCTGCAGGGAACCTGAGGGTAAAGATATCTTTATGAGGTGGTGATTTCATTTCCCTTGGATATATGTCTAACAGAGGGATTGCTAGGGCATATGGTAGTTCTATTTTTAATTTCTTTAAGACTTCCATATTGTCTTCCATAATGGCTGCACCAACCTACATTCCCTTCCACAGTACATAAGGGTTCCCTTTTCTCTGCACTCTCACCGATATTTGTTATGTTTTGCCTTTTTTTCTGAGATGGAGTTTTGCTCTTGTTGCCCAGGCTGGAGTGCAGTGGTGTGATCTTGGCTCACTGCAACCTCTGCCTCCTGGGTTCAAGCGATTCTCCTGCCTCAGCCTCCCGAGTAGCTGGGATTACAGGCATGCGCCACTATGCCCGGCTAATTTTGTATTTTTAGTAGAGATAGAGTTTCTCCATGTTGGTCAGGGCTGGCCTCGAACTCCTGACCTCAGGTGATCTGCCTGCCTCAGCCTCCCAAAGTGCTGGGATTACAGGCGCGGGACACCGTGTTTTGAATTTTTGATAATTGCCATCTTAATGGATGTGAGGTGAAATTTCATAGTGGTTTTCATTTGCATTTTCCTGATGACTAATGACACTGAGCACCTTTGCATATTAATGTTGGCCATTTCTTTGGAGAAATGTCTGTTCAGGTCTTTTGACCATTTTTTAAATCAGGTTATTTATTTTTCTTTTATTGAGTTTTATGAGATCTTTATAAATTGTAGATATTAGCCCCTTATCAGAGATATATTTTGTATATTTTTCCCAATGTATAGGTTGCTGTTTCACTACGATGATGGTTTTCTTTGCTGTGTAGAAGCTTTTTAGTTTGATATAGTCCCGTTTATTTATTTTCAATCTTATGGCCTAAGTTTTTGGTGTGATATGCAAAACGTCATTACCAAGGCCAATGTCTAGGAGCTTTCCCCCGGTTTCCCTTTTCAGGAATTTTACAGTTCCAGGTCTTATGTTTAGGTCTTTTGTCCCTTTTGAGTTGATTTTTGTGTACATTGTACGATAAGGGTACAATTTCATTTTCTTGCATGTGGAAATCCAGTTTTTCCAGCTCCATTTACTGAAGAGACCCTCCTTTCCCCATGTGTTCTCTTGATGCCTTTTTTGAAAATTAGTTGACCATATGTGTTTGGATTTATATCTGGGCTCTCTATTCTGTTCTACTGCTCTGTGTGTCTATGTTTATGCCATTACCATGCTGTTTAATTACATAGCTTTATAATACAATTTCATATCAGGAAGTGTTATGCCTCCAGTTCTTTCTGAAGACAGCTTTGGCTATTTGGGTTCATTTGTGTTTCCATATGAATTTTAGAATTTTTTTCCTATTTTTGTGAAGAATGCCACTGGGATTTTGATAGGGATTGCACTGAATCTGTATGTTCCTTTGGGTAGTAGGGACATTTTAACACCATTAATTCTTCCAATCCATGAGCAGGAGAGATTTTTCTATGTATTTTTATCTTCAATTTATTTCACTAATGTTTTATAGTTTTCAGTGTACAAATCTTTCACCTTGTTGGTTAAGATTATTCCTAAGTACTTTCTTGATGTTATCATAGAAAAGATTGTTTTCTTAATTTATTTTTTAGCTAGGTTGTTATTTATAGAAATGCTACTGGTTTTTGTGTGTTGATTTTGTATCCTTCAACTTTACTGAATTCACTTACTAGTTTTAACAGTTTGTTTGTGTGTGGAATCTTTGGGGTTTTCTACATATGGGCTCATATCATGTGCAAATAGAGATAATTTCACTTTTCTCTTCTAATTCGGATGCCTTTTCTTTCTTCTTCTTCTGTGATTGCTCTTGCTGGTACTTCCAGTACCGTGTCAAATAGAAGAAGTGAGAGTGGGCATCCTTAACTTGTACCATATCTTAGTGAAAAACCTTTCAGTTGTTCCCCATTTATTATAACATTAGCTGTGGGTTTTTCCTAGATGGCCTTCACTGTTTTGAGGAACTTTCATTCTGTACCTAAACTGTTCAGAGTTTATATCAAGAAAGAATGTTGAGCATTGCTGAATGCTTTTTCTGCATCAACTGAGGTAACCATGTGGCCATGTGGCTTTTAATCTCGCATTCTGTTAATGTGATGTATTACATGGATTGATTTGCATATGTTAAAACCAGGCTTGCATGCTAGGAATAAATCCCACTTGGTCATGATGTAAAATCTTTTTGATGTATTCTTGGATTCTATTTGCTAATATTTTATTGAGGATTTTTGCATCAGTATTCATCAGAGATACTGACCTGTAGTTTTCTTGTAATGTCTTTGCCTGGCTTAGGTACCAAGCATCCTGGCCTCATAAGATGTGTTTGGAAGTATTCTCTCTAGCTCTATTTTTTCGGGGGAGGTGGTGGGGGGTAAAGAACTTAAGAAGTATTGGTATAAATTCTTCCTTAAATGTTTGGCAGGATTCAGTCATGAAATCATCTGGTCCTGGGATTTTCTTTGTTGGGAGGTTTCGATTACTTCTTCAGTGTTTGCAGTGTGTTTACAGTAACAAAATATCCATCGATCTCCGTCCCTTGTTAACAAATCTCAGAAAGGTGTCTATCTCAAACTCAGCAGATGCTTCTGAATGTGGATTGTGCCTGTCTACTCAATCTGACTTTGCAGAGAAGGGTGGGATGAGGGAGCAGACCCCGAGGTCCCGTAGGCTGTGCCCAGGGACACTGTGGTTCAATTTCAGTGATTTGCTCCTTTAGCATCTCTGAAAAGTGTCAAAGGTCTGCTCCTCTCTGTTCTGTTTACTGTGGCCCTGAATCAACTGTGTCCCCAACCCCCACTACTACGCAACCAGGCCTAACAACTTTATTCAGATGATGTCTGATACATTGACAGTCTAGAGAGAGAGAAAAAAAATGGGGAGGCACAGGGAGAAAGGTCATTAGAGTGCACGCTTTTTGGCTCAAAGCTTGGATGGGGAGCCAGTTCTGTGCTTGGGGCTCTGGCTGAGGCTATGGAGTGCAAGGACGTAAAAATCTCAGCCCCTTAAAGAGGAGCTGGAAAGGGCTGCCACATTGCCTCTGCCGCTTCATCAGCTCATAGCCAACTCTTCTTTCGTCCTCTCCTCCTCTCCTGAGACCCCCCAACCCAGCCTTCTCCCAACTTAACCAGGTCCCCGAAATGGAGGCAGAACAGTTCCTTCAGATTTTCCATGGCCTGGAATCCGGAATCATTTTCAGAGCAAGTACCACGTGTTTTTGAAATAATGCAGGGCTCTGCATTTATGTAATTGGAAAGTTTGCCGTGCTAGCCCAGGAATTAATTGTAGGCCAAATTCAAATTTGGCTGCAAACAATGTGTAAACTACTGTGTTCCAGAATCTGTTTTTCTTCCTCTTACGATAGCCTTGAAGGAACAGAGATGAGAGAAATAGAAATAGACATTTTCTAAAGACTTTACCTCTAGGACAAATACAAAGGTGTTCTTGAAAGCTATTTTATTCCTCTGCAAAATGCATTCATTGCCTAGTGCTCAGACCTATACAGCTGCTGTCTCCTCGTGCACATGGAGTTCCTGACATCAGTCTCGAAGGGACTCTACCTAGACTGTTTCTACAATGTTGTACCTTTATTGCTGTGAGGCCACTTGCCACATGGTGACCCAGCCCCAACTCAACTTTTGTTCTTGAAATACAGATACCAAGGGCTGGGCATGGTGGCTCAGGCCTGTAATCTCAGCACTTTTGGAGGCCAAGGCAGGTGGATAACTTGAGATCAGGAGTTTGAGGCCAGCCTGGCCAACATGGCAAAACCCCATCTCTATTAAAAATACAAAAATTAGCTGGGCTAGGTGGCACGTGCCTGTAGTCCCAGCTACTCAGGAGGCTGACGCACAAGGATCGATTGAACCCAGGAGGTGGAGGTTGCAATGAGCCGAGATCATGCCATTTCACTCCAGCCTGGGCAACAGAGCAAGACTCCATCTCAAAAAAAAAAAAGAAGAAATATCAACACCAAGATTTAAAATAATGTATGCTCAGAGTAATTTTTACATGCATGAAAACAAATCATTCATGCAGTAGTACTCCTAAGCCAACTTAAATCATTGTGGTTTTGCTAGAAGAGAGGTCTAAATCTACTGAGGTCCATTCCTGTGTCTTTCTAATTCTGTGATCAAAGGCCCAACTGAAAGAGTGATTTGAGCAAAAGGAGAAAGAAGTGATACTGGCAGGGGTGAACAAAGTTCTGCTAATCCGGGAGGATTCTCTGAATATCTGTGTCCTGGAGACTTTTGGAAACCATTTGCAAACTTTTAAACTTAATCTTCTCCAAATATTTACTGTTTATGCTTAATATGTGCATTGCACATCATCATTTGATGATCACATTTCATGTATATTATCTCATGTGAGCCATATAGCAGCCCCTTGAGAAACATGCTGTCACACTCATTTCATATGTGGACATGCCGGGGCTCAAAAACACGTGAGTTGACCAAGGTCCTACAGCTGTGACTCAGCTCCAGACCTGCCTGACATTCAGCCTGGCATTCATTTTACTGTATCCCTGCTGACTCAGGGTTATCTTATGCAAAACAGATGTCGGCTTTCAGGGAATGACAAATTAGAAGACGTTGCCCGGCCCTCTTTGAGCCTGAGACATAAGCACAAATAACTTGTTTGGAGTTGGTGCAAAAGCAATTGCAGTATTTGCCATTGAAAGTAATGGCAAAACCCACGATTACTTTTCAGCAGCCTAATAATAGGAGGTAGGTAGAATTACCAGAAATGAGGCATAAGCACATGCCACGTGCTGTGGGGGTTCTCCACATCTCTTTCAGAGGTGACAAAAATCTTGAGAACAGCACAGGTCTGAGTTGGAGCATGGAGAGTGGGTACCCTGCGAGCAGGCAGAGGTGGGGGGCAGGGGTACACTGAAAACAAAGAGACAGAGGGAACAAAGGCAAGGAAAGTCTGGTACTTGATAGGAAGTAACAGGTTCTGGTTGTAGAGAAGGAAATTGTGGAACAGGGAGAAACAGTATGGACCATGCTGTATTAAACAGCGTTCCCCCAGAGGAATAGAACAAAGAAGCTATAGAGATATAGATATTTTGATGGGTTGATGTATTTATATAGATGTGGAGAAGGAGATTTCTTATGAAGTATTGTCTCACACAATTATGGAGGCTGAGAAGTCCCACAGTCTGTCATCTGAAAGCTGGAGACCCAGGAAAGCTGGTGGTGTAGTCCCAGAGCAAGTCCCAGGGAACGAGAACCAGGGAGCCGATGGTGTAAGTCCGGGTCCAAGCCCAAAGGCCGGAGAACCAGGAACACTGATGCTCAAGGGCAGGTGAAAGTGGATGGGTCAGATCAAGCAGAGAGAACAAACTCGCCCTTCCTCCACCATTTTGTTCTATCAAGCCCGCAATGAATCGGAGGGTGCCTGCCCACATCAGCAAGGGATAGCTACTTTACTCAGTCCACCAACTCAAATGCCAATCTCTTCCAGGAACACCCTCACAGACACACCCAGAAATCATGCTTTACCAGCTATCTGGGCACCACTTAGCCCAGTCAAGCTGACAGAAAATTCACCATCACACACATTGTACAGTGTTTGCCTGTCATGGTAAGGATTTTCACTTAATTTTCAAGGCAGCAGGAAGCCTGCAATGGAGCAAAAGGATTGTCCATCCTGAAGGTTAGTCTGGCGACAGATTACAGGCTGGGTTGGCCTGTGGAGCGCCAGCGAGTGCAGGGGATAGTGAAGAGTCACTTTTTATTTTTTTATTTATGATTATTATTATTTTTGAGATGGACTCCCGCTCTGTTGCCCAGGCTAGAATGCAGTGGCGCAATCTCAGCTCACTGCAACCTCCACCTCCCGGGTGCAAGCGATTCTTCTGCCTCAGCCTCCCGAGTAGCTGGGATTACAGGCGTGTGCCACCACACCTGGCTAATTTTCGTATTTTTAGTAGAGACTGGGTTTCACCATGTTGACCAGGCTGGTCTCAAACTCCTGACCTCAAGTGACTTACCTGCCTCGGCCTCCCAAAGTGCTAGGATTACAGGTGTGAGCCACCGCGCCAGGCCAGGCGTCCCTTTTTAAAAAGCAGCACTGGCAACTGTGATGCAGGGAGAGTGGCGAACTAAATGGGGACAAGCAAAAGCCAGGAGAGAGTCAGCAAAGCACTGAGAGATAACCCCTGGGCAGGAGAACTATTCTTTGAATATGAGCTATTCCTCTGGGCAATTTGTAGAGCTCCAGGAAATCGTTGTCACCATGAACAGCCGTATATGGAAGCAAACCTTAAAGGTATTTCAGTGCTCGCATCGAATTTAACGCAGGGATAGTCATTAGTGACAATATCAGAAGAGATGCAATAAAAAGATCAATGTCCTGATGCAGAAATGACCATGAGAATGAGGGGTGGGGTGGGAGTCTGAAAGCCCAGCCTGTGCCCCTGCCTTCATCCTGAGCTTGATCCATGATGTGGAATCTGCTGCAACTCCCTCTACATCCATTTTCTGACATAAACAACAATGATGCTTTTTTCCCCCAGATGTTGAAACAGACTAAATAACCATTTTCTGCTGGCAACTCTGACAGCTGAAGCTACTTGAAATCACACCAGCTCTGGATCAACTACAGGCCCAGCTGGTCACTTGGATGCTGATGGCAAGAGGCAAAAAAAAAAAAAAAAAAAAAAAAACGCACTAGGGTGAGTGCAAAAGTAGAGCTATGCTCACTTATAACCTGGGGCACACACACACATCACACCTCACCCCACATGTGGCCCCTGGGGTGCTGTAATCCAGCAAGAGCTTTCTCTTGGTGCCAGGACAAGGACCAGAAGTGAAACCTAGTCATATTTTCCTTGGAAAACACTCTCTCCACCACTGCTTTTTTATGGAAGCATTGAATGCCTCTGATTTTAAGCCACTTCTATTAAGACATTTTTTAATGTCCTAATTTCACCTTATGTTCTCTGACATTGACAGGGACAAGGTTAATCTCATTTAATTCCCTGGAATAAATTTATTTTTTAAAAGCTTAATGCCAGGCAGAAACTCTTCATTTTATTATTTATTTCTTATTTTTAATTTTATTTATTTATTTTTTGAGACAGACTCTCACTCTGTCGTCCAGGCTGGAGTGCAGTGGTGTGATCTCGGCTCACTGCAACCTCCACCTCCCAGGTTCAAGCGATTCTCTAGCCTCAGCCTCCTGAGAAGCTGGGATCCCAGGCATGCCCCACCACCCCTGGCTAATTTTTGTATTTTTAGTAGAGATGGGGTTTTACCATGTTGGCCAAGCTGGTCTTGAACTCCTGACCTCAGGTGATCCTCCCACCTCGGCCTCCCAAAGTGCTGGGATCATAGGCATGAGCCACCATGCCTGGCCAAAAACCTTCATTTTAAATAGTCCTCACAGCTCCAAGAATATAGACCTATCTCTCACAGAATCATCGAAAGGGAACTAAAAGGAATGCCAAAGTCATCTCCCAACATCATCTTGTGTTACGCATCAGGAAACCAGAAAGAATGCAATGACCGGCCCTAGGCAAAGAGTTGTTTTTTTTTTTTCCAACAAAAAGCATGGCGGACAGAGGCATTGTATGATATCAAACCTGTAACCTTTGGAAACAATGGCGTTTTGTAAAACTCATCCCTCTGCTGGCGTGTGAAAAGAGCAGGGGAGTCCCTGGAACCTGGAGCAGGGCTGGAGAGATTCAGGAATAGTTCAGTACACTGAAATTTACTCCTTGGCCAAGAAAATCTAATAAGACAATTTTTGCAACAAAAGCAGTCTTCGAAAACAAACTTTCAGAGGTTCAGGATTCCTGCTGCAGCAATAGCTGCCCACCCAAAAAACATATTGCAGAAATAAAAATTCCTGTATTTCTTCTTTTCAGATGAAGAGCAGGGAATATACTGATAAGTAAATGCAAAAATGACAACAATTAATTTGTTCCACAAACGAGTGCATTTCATGCAATATTCTTAAGGAACAAAGACACGCACATAGCTTGTTTATGCTCATCCACAATATTTTATGTATTTGGAATATATGTACATGGATATCCTAGGACTCCATCTTAGGCTCAGCATTTTTCCTAAGACAAATGAAGTTAAATTAACCTTTTGCTGGAATGTTGTTGCTCCTTTTCATAAAGTTTTTGATTCAATATTCATGTATCATTATTTATTTTATGTTTATTTTATTTTTTTTGAGACACAGTCTCACTTTATTCTCAGGCTGAAATGCAATGGCACGATCTTGGCTCACTCCACCTCCTGAGTTCAAGCGATTCTCCCGCCTCAGCCCCCTGAGTAGCTGAGATTACAGGCACACACCACAACACCCAAATACTTTTTTTGTATTTTTTAGTAGAGATGGGGTTTCACCATGTTGGCCAGGCTGTTCTCAAACTCCTGACCTCAGGTGATCCACCCACTTTGGCCTCCCAAAGTGTTGGGATTACAGGCATGAGCTGCTGCACCTGGCCAAAGTGTATTATTTTAAAAATTTAGTAGACAGCCATGCATTTGGTGCTTTGCAACAGGAAGATAAGCTCTCCCATAGCAGAATAAGTTTTGGGTTGAAGGAGTACAGCGAAGTCCACCCCAAAACATGGCTTCCTTTTAAAATGAGTATTTTGCCCTCAAAGATCAACAGACACTGGAAGAGGCTTCTCCCCTACCTACAGAAAGACCAGACAGACCCACCAAGAATTGTTTTTCCTTCCTCTCCCTGTTGTCTCATTATCTATTGCAGTAAAAAAGACCAAGAATGTCACCGGACCTGATCGACCCTATTACAAAATCATGTTTATCTCTCAGGCTCATTCAGTTTCCAAAAAGAACTATTTACAAGTTAATCTCTATTCCCCCACCCATTCATTCTCCCAGGTAATCAGGTATTGCCCCTCAACCAAAGTACCTATATTCCCCATCTCTCCCTCCCCTCTGAGGTAAGGCCACAAAGGTTGGGCCCCAATGGGATATGGGATCATCACTGTGGCTCTCCCCATGTGCGTGCTAATGAATTTGCCTTTTCTCCTAATCATCAGCCTTTGTCAGTTGATTTTTCAATGAACCCTCCAAGGGCAAAGGGAAAGATTTCACAAGATTTCCCTTTGCTCCTACAAAGTCTTCCTAAGTTTGTTTCCTTTTCCTTCTTCTTCTTTTTTTTTTTTTTTTTCTGAGACAGAGTCTCTCTCTGTCCCCCAGGCTGGAGGGCAGTGGCATGATCTTGTGATCCCGGCTCACTGCAACCTCCGCCTCTGGGTTCAAGCAATTCTGGTGCCTCAGCCTCCCAAGTAGCTGGGACTACAGGCGTGCGTCATCACCCCTGCTAATTTTTGTATCTTTAGTAGAGACAGGGTTTCACCATGTTGGCCAGGCTGGTCTCGAACTCCTGGCCTCAAGTGATACACCTGCCTCGGCCTCCCAAAGTGCTAGGATTACAGGCGTGAGCCACTGCGCCCAGCCCAGGTCTTCTTAAGTTTGAAAAACACACAAAATAAAAACAAATCTTTCAAGAATGACACTGACTCATTTTAAGTCTTCTTTGAATTATAACAAAATGTGGTATCCAATTCTGCTTTAGCAATCAGTCAGGAAAAGCTTCCAGTTTTCACACTTACATCAGGACTTGATAAATGCTGTCTCGATTTTTTTAAGGTTGCCATTTATGAGCAGCTGATCATAATAAACTGCAATTTCTGTTTCTCCCCAGGTTCTGCAGCGACTGAAGGGCTTGAGTAGAGAACCAGGCGTGATGATTTAAGAGCAAACATTTTTAAAGGGGGAGAGGAAAAGAAAGAGAAAAATGCTAAAATGTTTGGACAGAAAACTGGGTTCTCCTCCCAGTGGGTATTAAGTGAACCTTGTGGGTTTTGCACAAACCTTTTGAGAGAAACAGCAATCATGGTTCCCATTCTACAGATGGTAGGAGCCACCTTCTATGCTCTGACAGTACATCCAGGTGGTCTACCTGTACATCACTGAAGAATGTTAAATGCCCTTAGAGATTTTAAGGCTTAGGAGAAATCCGATCACTTTATTTTCTCCTAAATTTGTAAATTATCAAAGAGGCTAATTGTAAAGGTTTAGGTAAATTGCTCTGTGTGTGTGTGTGTGTGTGTGTGTGTGTGTTAGTATGTATCAAATAAATACAATAAATGAGTCATCCAAACACACAGGATCAGGTTTTAACTAATAGCCAACAAAATGCTAAGTGTCACAGAAGAATCCAATAACAAACAGTTTCCAACTGTTTACCCCAAAAATATTGTGTGGTTGTAGCCTATCTTCAAAAAGGTGGGTCTACCCAGAGACAGGTCTCTGACAAAATCTACAAATTATACAGAGGGGACGCCCAGCCAAGACTGGGCAGCCTTCAAAGTTCAAGATGGTTAAAAATTAAACTGCATATTTAACTGAATCTAAGGTGAAATCAAAATAGTATAACACATACAATGAGCAAAAATATTTGTAAATAATGGATCTGATATGGGATTAATATACAGAATATATAAAGAATGCCTACAACTCGATAAGAACAAAACAAACAATCTAATTCAAAATAGGCAAAAGGGCCAGGTGTGGTGGCTCATGCCTGTAATCCCAGCATTTTGGGAGGCCAAGGCGGGTAGATTATTTGAGATCAGAAGTTTGAGACCAGCCTGGCCAACATGATGAAACCCCATCTCTACTAAAAATACAAAAATTAACTAAGCATGGTGGTGGGCAACTGTAATCCCAGTTACTTGGGAAGCTAAGGCAGGAGAATCACTTGAACCCGGGAGGCAGAGCTTGCCGCGAGCCAAGATGGCGCCACTGTACTCCAGACTGAGCAATGGAGTGAGACCCTGTCACAAAAAAAAAAAAAAAAAAAATAGACAAAGGACTTGAATAAACATTTCTCCAAAGAAGATACACAAATGCCAATAAGCTCATGGATTGCTGCACCACATCACTAATCATTAGGGAAATGTAAATCAAAACCACAATGAGATACGACTTTCACACCCATTAGAATGACCACTATTTAAAAAAAAGAAAATAATAAGCAGTGATGAGAATGTAGAGAAACTGGAACCCTTGTACACTGCTGGGGGAACTGTAATGGTGCAGGTGCTATAGAAAACAGTACTCATTCCTAAAAAATAATTACACATACAACTACCCTATGAGCCAGCAATTAGACTTCTGCATATTGACCCAAAAGAATTAAAAGCAGAGTCTAGAATGGATATTTGCACACCCATGCTCCTAGCAGCATTGTCTACAATAGCCAAAGGTGTGAACAACCCAAATTTTCCCTGATAGAAAAATGGATAAACAAAGTGTGGTCTAGCCATACAATGGAATGTGATTCAGCTTGAAAAAGGAAGGGAATTCTGACACACACCACAACATAACTGGATCTTGAAGACATTATAATCAAAGAAATAAGCTAGCCACAGAAAGACAAATACTATATATGGTTCCACTCCTACAAGGTCCCTAGAGTAGTCAAATGCATAGAGAGAACAAGCAGAATGATGGTTGCCAAGGGCTAGGTGGAGAAGAAAAGGGGAAGTTGTTTAGTGGGTACAGAGATTCAGTTTTTTGCAAGACGAAAGAGTTCTGGAGATGGAGGGTGGTGATGACTGCACAACAATGTAAACGTATTTGATGCCACTTGTGATCTGAGAGGCCAAAACAGATGCCCTTTTGTCAACTAAGAGAAACTCTAACGTTAAGGCAACAGAAGTTACCTACAGATCAAGGTTTCAGGACCCAACCGGCAGGGCAAATTTCTAAATTCCTATGGCTTACAAGAAAAACCGCACTCTTGCTAAACTCCTATACAATAGGAGCTATCAGGCAAATTAACATACCCTTCCTAATTCTGATTTACAACCCAGACCACTACAACTCTGTTGAACAGAGGATTGGCCTGATAAACATTCTTTCCTGATAAGCAACTGCAGACCTTAAGCCAGTTTCAGCAGCTCATGGAGGCTGTGCACAAACTGTCTTTGTGTCCTATGCTTAACCTTTTGATATATACCACCTTGTTCTATTTTATTTTAAGAGACAGGGTCTCACTCTGTCACCCAGGTGGGAGTACCGTGGTGCAATCATAACTCATTGCAGCCTCAAACTCCAAATTGTTTTTTTTTTAAGACAGCTAAAGTATCCCTCTTGCCTCAGCCCCCCAAGTAGCTGGCACTACCAGAACACACCACCATGCCTGGCTAATTTTAAATTTTTTTGTAGAGATAAGGTCCCACTATGTTGCCCAGGCTGGTCTTGAACTCCTGGCCTCAAGGGATCCTCCCACCTTAGCCTCCCAAAGTGTTGGGATATCTGCCTCATTTTAATGCTAAAACTTCACCCCAAAGTGAACTGGGATGTATGTTACATGTATGTTTACCTATTGCATATGCACTTGACCTCATCCTTATAAATATATATAGCTTTTCCCCAAATCTGCTGAATATGTATGACTATTGTGTAATATAGACATTGTAAGGCATAAAATCCAACCTGCCCTTCCCCTCTTCAAAGAGTGAGCAGCTTTAGTCCATGCTGGAGACTATCTTTTCCTGGTTTGCCAATTGATATTGCCAATAAAACTGTCCCTTCTACTCTTCAGCCATCGTGGTGGTCTTTTGGATGATGCACCCAACTATACACTTAAAAAATGGTGGCCAGATGCCGTGTCTCACGCCTGGAATCCCAGCACTTTGGGAGGCTGAGGCAGGCAGATCACGAGGTCAGGAGATCGAGACCACCCTGGCTAACACGGTGAAACCCCGTATCTACTAAAAATA